>NC_000014.9:77793531-77945046 GCF_000001405.40 Homo sapiens
GGCTGGGCACTGTGGCTCACACCTGTAATCCCAGCACTTTGAGAGGCTGAGGCGGGCGGATCACCTGAGGTCAGGAGTTTGAGACCAGCCTGGCTAACATGGTGAAACCCAGTCTCGACTAAAATACAAAAATTAGCCAGGCATGGTGGTGCATGCCTGTAATCCCAGTTACTCGGGAGGCTGAGGCAGGGGAATTACTTGAACTTGGGAGGCGGAAGTTGCAGTGAGCCGAGTTTGTGCCGATGCACTCCAGCCTGGGCAACAGAGTGAGACTCCATCTCCAAAAAAAAAAAAGAAAATACAAGTCTGACTCTTCACATCATAAGCTGGCTGTGGTGGCTCATGTCTGTAATCCCAGCACTTTGGGAGGCTAAAGCGGATGGATCATTTGAGGCCAGGAGTTTGAGACCAGCCTGGCCAACATGGCGAAACCCTGTCTCTACTAAAAATACAAAAAATCAGGCGGGCGTGGTGGCAGGTGTCTGTGATCCCAGCTACTTGAGAGGCTGAGGCAGGAGAATCGCTTGAACCGGGGAGGCAGAGGTTGCAGTGAGCCGAGATGGTGCCGTTGCACTCCAGCCTGGGTGACAGAATGAGACTCGGTCTCAAAAACAACAATAACAACAACAACAACAACAACAAAGCAAGTTTGAGTCTTCACATTAAGCCTGTACCACTGTTGTAACATGGGAAGACATGAAGAAGAAATGATCTGAGCTTTAATCATTTATATTCGGACATAAGGTCCACCAAGATAAAGAACATCTGTACCAAACTGCCCCCTCCCCACAAAATTCAAGTATTGATAAGTGATTTTAAATAAATTTTATAAATAAAACAGTGTAAGGAGGTAGAGTGTGTCTCAGGGAATGTGGGGGTGAGTGGGGAGATAGGGGTAATTGGGGATGACCTCTCTGGAGAGTAACATTAGCAGAGAACAAATTGCCAGGATGGAGCAGACCATTGAAGATATGGGGGAATAGCAAGTGTAACGGCTGCCCAGATAGCAGCCAGCTTGGCAGATTGAGAACAGAAAGGAAGCTGATGCGGTTGGAGTGGAGTGAGCCAGGGAAGAGAAGGGTGGGAAATGAGGCTGGAGAGAGGGAGTGGAGCCAGCCTCTGGGGAGCCAGGAGGGTCAGGCTGAAGGGGTGGGTTGCCCCTCCACACCTGTGGGTGTTTCTCGTAAGGTGGAACGAGAGACTTGGAAAAGAAAAAGACACAGAGACAAAGTATAGAGAAAGAAATAAGGGGACCCTGGGGACCAGCGTTCAGCATATGGAGGATCCCGCCAGCCTCTGAGTTTTCTTAGTATTTATTGATCATTCGTGGGTGTTTCTCCGAGAGGGGGATGTGTCAGGGTCACAAGACAATAGTGGGGAGAGGGTCAGCAGACAAACACGTGAACAAAGGTCTTTGCATCATAGACAAGGTAAAGGATTAAGTGCTGTGCTTTTAGATATGCATACACATAAACATCTCAATGCTTTACAAAGCAGTATTGCTGCCCGCATGTCCCACCTCCAGCCCTAAGGCGCTTTTCCCCTATCTCAGTAGATGGAACGTACAATCGGGTTTTATACCGAGACATTCCATTGCCCAGGGACGGGCAGGAGACAGATGCCTTCCTCTTGTCTCAACTGCAAGAGGCATGCCTTCCTCTTATACTAATCCTCCTCAGCACAGACCCTTTACAGGAGTTGGGCTGGGGGACGGTCAGGTCTTTCCCTTCCCACGAGGCCATATTTCAGACTATCACATGGGGAGAAAACTTGGACAATACCTGGCTTTCCTAGGCAGAGGTCCCTGCGGCCTTCCGCAGTTTTTGTGTCCCTGGGTACTTGAGATTAGGGAGTGGTGATGACTCTTAAGGAGCATGCTGCCTTCAAGCATCTGTTTAACAAAGCACATCTTGCACCGCCCTTAATCCATTTAACCCTGAGTTTGACACAGCACATGTTTCAGAGAGCACGGGGTTAGGGGTAAGGTCACAGAATCTCAAGGCAGAAGAATTTTTCTTAGTACATAACAAAATGGAGTCTCCCATGTCTATTTCTTTCTACACAGACACAGTAACAATCTGATCTCTCTTGCTTTTCCCCACATCAGGCAAAGAGTTTGGATTTTCTTCTCAGTGTCATGACACTCCTCTGAACAGCAACATTCAGCTTCCAAAGCACTTGCACCATTGCACTTGATCCTCACAAGCCCTTTGAGGTAGATAGGACTGACAATAGTATTAACTCCATTTTATCAAGACAGAAACTAAAGCTCTGCCAAAATTAGAAAACCTGCTGTGAGTCACCCAGTTCAAATAAGATTCTTTGACTCTAAATCGGGGTTTTTAACCTCAGCTGTGCATTGAAATCCTACAGGGAGCTCTACAAAATACCTATGACTCAGTCCCATTCCCAGTAGTTGAAGGGGTGCTAGTGCCAGCTATGGCCCAGGAAGACTTTTAAAGCTCTCCAGGTGATTTTTTTTTTTAGACTGGGTTTTTCTCTGTCACCCAGGCTGGAATGCGGTGGTGGTGCAATCATGCCTCACTGTACCCTTGACCTTCTGGGCTCAAGTTATCTTCCCACGTGAGCCTCCTGAGTAGTTGGGATTTTAGGCATGAGCCACTGTGCCTGGCCCTTATTATTATTTTATTTTTAATTTATTATTATTTTTTGAGATGGAGTCTTGCTCTGTCACCCAGGCTGGAGTGCAGTGACATGATCTCGGCTCACTGCAACCTCTGCCTCCTAGGTTCAAGCGAGTATCCTGCCTTAGCCTCTAGAGCAGCTGGGACTACAGGCGTGTGACACCACGCCCAGCTAAGTTTTGTATTTTTAGTAGAGACGGGGTTTCACCATGTTGGCCAGGCTGGGCTGGAATTCCTGACCTCAAGTGATCTGCCTGCCTTGGCCTCCCTAAGTGCTGGGATTACAGGTGTGAGCCACTGCACCTGGCCTAATGCTCCCTTTTTTCTGTTCCTAAGCCACTTTGTTCATACCTCAATCTTAACACTTCTCACATTATTTGGAAGTTATCAATCTTCTTATCTTAATGCCTATACATTGCAAACTTTAGATGGTGGGGGCTGTGTTATTTAACTCTATACTACTGCTACCTCTGTGCTGCAATTATCTTTTTTTTTCTTTTTTAGTGACCGGGTTTAGCTCTCTCTCTGTTGCCCAGCTGGAGTGCAGTGGCAAGACTCATCAAAGCTCACTGCAGCCTTGAACTCCTGGGCTCAAGATCCTCCCTCCCTGGCCTCCAGAGTAGCTGGGACTACAGGCATGCGCCACCATGCCCAGCTAATTTTTAATTTTTCTGTAATCTCATAGGGTCTGGCTATGTTGCTCAGGCTGGTCTCTAACTCCCAGCTTCAAGCGATTCTCCTGCCTTGGCCTCCCAAACTGTCGTGGTTACAGGGATAAGCCACTGTGCTCAGTCTATGCTGTCTTTCAATAAAGACAAGTGCTTAAATTTAATGTAGTTTAAATTTATCAAAGTTTTATTTACAGTTTGTGATTATGGCACTTAATAAACCCTACCCTGAGATCATAAGGATGTTTTCTTTTCTTGTAAAAGTTATAATTTTGGGGAACGATAGTAAGAAGAAAAAAAAAGTTGTAATTTTAAAATGCTTTAATTTCCCCTGTAAGTCTTTAACCTACCTTGAATTAGTTTTTGCATAGGGGATCCAACAGGTAACTGGTTGTTCCAGCCCATGTACTGAATACTCTATCTTCCCTCACTGAACTATAATTCCAGCCATACCTCATTTCATAGATGCCTGCATGTTTGGGCTCTGTAGGTGGTTCCATTTCCCCCTCTGCCTTTCCCTATTCCAATATCACATGGTCTTAATTTGTATAGCTTTATAATACATGTTGACATGGAAGGGTGCGTCCTTGAAACACATTTTTCTTCTTCAAGAATGTTTTGGCTATGCTTTGCCTTAAAGTGGTGGTTTTTTTTTGTTTTTTGTATTTTTTTTTTTTTTTGAGACAAAGTCTCGCTCTGTCACCCAGGCTGGAATTCAGTGGTATGATCTTGGCTCACTGCAACATTTGTCTCCCGGGTTCAAGGATTCTCTTGCCACAGCCTTCTGAGTAGCTGGGATTACAGGTGTGCACCACCATGCCTGGCTAATTTTTGTATTTTAGTAGAGATGGGGTTTTACCATGTTGGCCAGGCTGGTGATGAACTCCTGACCTCAACTGATCCACCTGCCTTAGCCTCCCAACGTGCTGGGATTACAGGCACGAGCCACTGCGCTGCCCTTTGTTTTTTCATACACACTTTTGATTAGTTTGTGAAGGTCCAGAAAAAATTATGTTGGAAATTTGATTGGAACTGCATTGGACTGATAGATTAATTCCCCCATGAAAAAAATAGCTCAAGAGATGTTTATAGAATAAACAAACGTCTGAGGCCTGGCGTGGTGGCTCACACCTGTAATCCCAGCACTTTGGGAGGCCAAGGCCAGAGGATGGCTTAGCACAGAAATTCGAGACCAGCCTGGGCAATATAGTGAGACCACACCCCCCAGCTTTTCTTGAGAAAAAATTTAAAAAATTTAGCCAGGCGTGGCAGTATGTGCTTGTAGTCCCAGCTACTCCACAGACTGAGGCAGGAGGGTACCTTGAGGACAGGAAGTTGAGGCTACAGTGATGGAGCCTCTACACTCCAGCTTGGGCAACACAGCCAGACCCTGTCTCAAAAAAAAAAAGAGAAATGTTTTTGATACATGTCTTCAAAGTGCATCTTATAAGTCAACATTTGATAATGGAGATCAGTGAATGAATGAATAAGGGCCAAAGATAACTAAGATTAGCTAGCATATTATATTTATTTATTTATTTATTTTGAGACGAGTCTTGCTCTGTTGCCCAGGCTGGAGTGCAGTGGCCCAATCTCAGCTCACTGCAACCTCCACCTCCTGGGTTCAAGCAATTCTCCCACCTCAGCCTCCCGAGTAGTTGGGATAACAGGTGCCCGCCACTATGCTGGGCTAATTTTTCTTTTTCTTTTTTTTCTTTTTGGAGACAGAGTCTCACTCTGTTGCCTAGGCTGGAGTGCAGTGGCGTGATCTCAGCTCACTGCAACCTCCGCCTCCCGGGTTCAAGCGATTCTCCTGCCTCAGCTTCCTGAGTAGCTGAAATTCCAGACGTGCACCACCACACCAGGCTAATTTTTGTATTTTTAGCAGAGACAGATTTCACTATGTTGGCCAGGCTGGTCTCAAATTCCCGGCCTCAAGTGGTCCGCCCACCTTGGCCTCCCAAGGTGCTGGGATTACAGGAATGAGCCACCGCACCCGGCTTAATTTTTCTATTTTTAGTAGAAATGGGGTTTCACTATGTCGGCCTGGCTGGTCTCCAACCCCTAGCCTCAGGTGATCTGCCCGCCTCAGCCTCCCAAAGTGCTGGGATTACAGGTGTGAGCTACTGCGTCCTGCCCAGCCAGCATTATTATTATTATTTTTGAGACGGAGTTTCGCTGTTGTTGCCTAGGCTGGAGTGCAATGGCGTGACCTCGGCTCACCGCAACTTCTGCCTCCCGGGTTTCTAGTGCCTCAGCCTCCTGAGTAGCTGGGATTACAGGCATGCACCACTAGGCCTGGCTAATTTTTGCTATTATTAGTAGGGACGGGGTTTCTCCATGTTGGTCAGGTTGGTCTCAAACTCCCGACCTCAGGTGATCTGCTAGCCTTGGCCTGCTGGGATTACAGGCGTGAGCCACCGCCCCGCCAGCATACATCAATTGTCAGTAAATTTCTTCTTCGCCTACTAGTTCCAATATCTTATTTAAAATCTATGGCCCGGTGAGGTGGCTCAGGCTTGTAATCCCAGCACTTTGGGAAGTCAAGGCGGGTGGATTGCCTGAGTTCAGGAGTTCAAGACCAGCCTGGGCAAAATGGCGAAACCCCGTCACTCCTAAAAATACAAAAAATTAGCAGGGCGTGGTAGCACACTCCTGTAATCCCAGCTACTCAGGAGGCTGAGGCAGGAGAATCACTTGAACCCGGGAGGCGGAGGTTGCAGTGAGGCGAGATGGGCCACTGCACTCCAGCTTGGGCGACAGAGTGAGACTCTGTCTCAAAATGAATGAATGAATGAATGAATGAATGAATAAAATCTACGAGGTCGGGCGCAGTGGCTCACTCTTGTAATCCCAGCACTTTGGGCGGGCGGATCATTTGAGGTCAGGAGTTTGAGACCGGCTTGGCCAACATGGTGAAACCCCATCTCTAAAAAAAATACAAAAATTAGCTGTACTGCTTGGGCGACAGAGCGAGACTCAGTCTCAAAAAAAAAAAATCTACAAATCCACTTCATCTTTCATTAAACACGAACCTGGGACGTAGTTAGAATGTCTTGAAGAAAATATTTCAGTAATATTCCAAGTCCGTCGCCCTGGCAAAGCAACAAGGCCACCTGACGGAGTAAGCCCGAGACCCCTGTGCCTCCACAGTACTGCCCGCGGGATCGCGGCGTGGGGAACCAGGAACTACAAGTCCCGGCAGGCCGCGCGCGCCTCGGCTTCACTAAGCGCAGTCAGGTGGCTGTCCCCGCACGGTTCCCAGCTAATTCCCCGCTACCGGGTTGCGGCCGGAAGCCGGGCGCCGCGGCTCTGCTTCCCTCGGGGTGAGTAGGGGCAGCTCGCCGGAGGCCGGCGCAGAGCTCGGGCCGACCAGCCTGGCAGGGCCGCACCGCGCCTGGAGCGCGAGGGAACCGGCATGGACACGCCGGGAGTCGGCCTCTGCTCCGGTTGTGCAGCCGCCCTGGGCGCCGGGAGGGACAGCCCCATGACCTTGTCACCTGGGCCCGGCGCGCGGCCACGTGGCTCGGGTGACTCGCATTGCCCCGCCCCCCTGCAGTGACTTCTCCAGTTTGGCACACCAGTGGGCTTTCATGTGACCTGTCCACTTCAGTGGCACAGTCTTGCAGGCACCCGAGTGGGCAGAGCTGGAGGAGGGCCGGAGGTGGCTCACCCAGACGCCTTCACCCCCTGGTGGCCCTGTGAGTTCCGAGGCAGAAGCAGCTGGAGCTGGAGCGTGGTCTGGGCAAGAGCAGGGGGCGATGCCCATATCCTGGCCCTCCACCCGGTCTTGCGAACGTGCCCCAGACCGCTGCTTATCTCCAGCATCTTGCAGGGCCCTGGGCTTCCAGATCACACAGTAGATATGTGCTAACAGCAGCCAGTGTGTGTGGAGAGCAACCTTTAGATAAGACACCTAGAACAGCCCTCTCCCAGGGTTAAGTGGCATTTACTTTCTACTAACAAGAAAGTCATTCAACAAGTATTTATTGTTTACCTCCATGATACTTGGCACTTAGTAGGTGCTCAAGAAATATTTGCAGAGTTGAAGTGAATTAGACTTTATCTGTGGCTTCATATGTTTTATTTAATAATTTTCTTGGGGCTGGATGTGGTGGCTGATGCCTGTAATCCCAGCACTTTGGGAGGCCAAGATGGGAGGATTGCTTGAGGGCAGGAGTTCAACACCAGGCTGGGCAACATAGTGAGACTCCCGTCTGTATTAAAAGAAAAAAAGGAAAATAAATAAAATAATTTTCTTACTACAGTGGTTCTCAAACTTTAGCATGCACCAGAGTCACCTGGAGAGCTAGTAACAACACACAGTACTGGACCCCATCCCCAAAGTTTCTGATTCTGTAAGTCTGGTATGAGGACCAAGAATTGGCGTTTCTAACATGCACCCAAGTGATGCAGTTGCTGTTGGTCTGGGGACCATACGTTGAGTACCACTGCTTTATAGGAAAAAAAATCCTGTGAACTTAAAGCACTATCTCTTCACACCTGGTTACGGGTCTTTCTGTCTTTATTTGCCAGTTTTACTTTTTTGGTGATTGTAAATATGTGCATATTACTTTGTACACTGTTAACTCCCTCCATATTAATTTATATACAGATTTTAATGTAGTCTATACTTGTCATTTTTCCTGGTTACATCATATTCTACCTTATTGGGTCATTCTTTGCTTGGCCATTTCTCAACTGGCCTCAGGGATGTGCGATTTGATCTGTACTAGAAGAGTGTGCATATTCTTACTTTCTGCTATGCAGTCATTTTCTTGTCAGACAAAGGACCTGTAAGAATATTAGTTGGGGCCGGGTGCGGTGGCTCACACCTGTAATCCCAGCACTTTGGGAGGCTGAGGTGGGCGAATCACTTGAGGTCAGGCGTTCAATGCCAGCCTGGCCAACATGGTGAAACCCCATCTCTACCAAAAATACAAAAAAATTACCTGGGCGTAGTGGTGTGTGCCTGTAGTCCCAGCTACTTGGGAGGCTGAGGAGGAGAACAGCTTGAACCCGGGAGACGGAGGCTGCAGTGAGCCGAGATCGTGTCACTGCACTCCAGCCTGGGCGACTGAGCAAGACTCCGTCTAAAAAAAAAAAATTTAGTTGGGTCAGCCATCCATTTCTTCACCAGGGTAACTCACTAAATATGCCTCCTGGGTTAAGGTTTCCATGTTGCAGGGACTCCAGTGGCCTATTTCAGGGCCCAGCAAGCTGCTTGTTCTTGTGCACTTTTTGCTCTCTTGGTGGGAGCAGTCATACATGGATTCAAGTTCTGCCTCCATCACTTACCAGCTCCTTGGCCAAGTTTTCTACCTTTTCTAAAACACCACTTCCTTATCCATAGATTGAAGCTCTAATAGCATGCACCTCGGAATCTGGTTGTGTGAGTTAATGAGCTAATAAGTGCTTGGTACTGTAGCTCTCCCGTTGGAAGCTCACTCTCTTCTCTTACCTGCTGCTTGCTCTTTGCATCTGGCTTTGCCCTATTCTCCCTCAGTCTGCCTTTCCTAGGATGGACTGAATGGAGGATTTCTATTCCTTGCCTGGGTGAGAATTATTTTTGTTGTCTATTCTGGGACCTTGGCATCAGTCAGGGATTCCTTTTTTTATTTTTTGAGACAGAGTGTTGCTCTGTCGCCCAGGCTGGAGTGCAGTGGCACGATCTTGGCTCACTGCAGCCTCTGCCTCTCGGGTTCCAGCAATTCTCTTGCTTCAGCCTCCCGGGATTCCTTTATTTAATCAACATTGATTTAAGGACCTTGAGTGCTTAGGCATCAAACACTAGGAAAGGGAGTTTGATTAAAATTTGGTTCCTAGCCGGGCGCGGTGGCTCACGCCTGTAATCCCAGCACTTTGGGAAGCCAAGGCGGGCGGATCACGAGGTCAGGAGATCGAGACCATCCTGGCTAACATGGTGAAACACCGTCTCTACTAAAAAAAATACAAAAAAATTAGCTGGGCGTGGTGCCGGGTGCCTGTAGTCCCAGCTACTCAGGAGGCTGAGGCAGGAGAATGGCTGGAACCCGGGAGGCGGAGCTTGCAGTGAGCCGAGATTGCGCCACTGCACTCCAGCCTGGGCGACAGAATGAGACTTCATCTCAAAATAAATAAATAAATACAATTTGGTTCCTGGACTACATTACTATCTTAGGGAGGGCAGACTGTAAACCTGCTCAGGCCAACTTCACACAGTCCCTTGCTATTGACTTGGTGTCTTTGGCATCTTTCCAGACTTGAGGCATGATGGTATCATTCACTTTGTGTGCTTTCTATCCATATCAGGGACCAGGTTCTTCTGAAGACCCTATCACTCTCTCCAAGGGTATTTTTGGGTCTTTTTTCAGTTTTGGGGGCAGACTAGAAGAAATAATGCTCATTGGTATAATAGTCTCTCTAGGAAATGGGAGGAGGCCATGGTCACTTTTCATGGAACTAGAGACCTAAGTGCCTTTTCTCTGTGGTAATTCTCATTTGTGCACCAAACAGGGAAAGGTGATTCCAGGCCTTTAGTCCTGAAATGTAGCATAGGGAGAGGGCTGCCAATGGATGGAAACTGAAAAGGCCTAGCTAGTCACTGACTCCGATGAACAGTAAGTGCTTGGTTTCCCATTTAGTTCTGTCAAGGGGACGGACATTTCGTGTGACCATCAGCTTCCCATTTGTACGTCCCAGACTCTCCTGTTGCTTCATTTTCATAACCTACTGGGGTGTTTCCTGTGGTCCAGCGAGATGGATTCCATTCTTGTCATTGATTTGACAATAAAACAGCCATGTCAGCTTTGCAGCTCTCCTAAACATTTGATAGACTGAAATGGCTTGTTTCTAGTGGGAGGCATTGGTTGATCTTGTGACATCCTGTTGATTTTGGGGGCTCCAAACAGTGCCTCCCACATGCCTGGCACTGGGTCAGAAATCATAGTCTCTGCCCACAGCAACAGTTGCATTTACTTGAGAACAGCAGTAAGGACTTTAGTGAACAGGAGTCCAGGTGTTCCTATCAAAGACGTTACCTGTCATAAAGAGAAGGGCTGAATACTTGGAATGAGTGGGAAGGCCCTGCTCAAGCTCTTAGCCATTTTACTAGCTGAGCCACCTGGGACAAATCTCTCACCCTCTCTGCTCCTTGGTTTCCTCATTTATACCTGGGGATGGTAATAATATTTGTCTCTCCTCACTGGGTTGTGTGGAATATCTAATGAGTTGAGTGTAAAGGGCTCTATTTTAATATAAAGGCTAGTTCTTGCTAGTGTTATTATCTAGTGATTAGGTTTAAGGGTTTTGGTGGCCTCAGACCCCCTGTAAGGTATGTACTGTTAGGAGAGGTGACTCAGGTGAAAGTCAAAAAGGCTAGTAAGCAGAACAGGGCAGGTGATTCATTAACAAAGGGTTTAATAAGGAAAAATGTTTTCAATTGACAGACATATTTCACGCCTGACAGGGTCTTTTACAATACCCCGAGGGAAGCAACTCATTTGCATGTTAAAGACTCAGGGACACCTTATGGAAAACTCTAGCTCCAGTCTATTTAGATGCCATTCGGCTCCTGTATCATCTATTTTATGTATTTCAATTTCCATCTCTTTTATCACTGAGGACATTTGCACGAAAACAGGGTTTCGAGAGTTGTGTCTGCTTCGCTGTTACTTCCCACCCAGAGGTGGTCTCAAGGGTAGGGGTGGCCTCATTGCATACAGGGGACAGGTGTGGAGGTTGGTGTAACAGGAAGAGGGGGTTCAGGGGAGGCAGGGGCTGGGAGGTGGTGTTGGGGTGGGATGGGGTGTTGGTGATGAATTGTCAGCCCAGGGCATGTGGTTTTCACCTGGGGACCTGCATTGTTCCTTGCTCTGCACAGGTCTCAGGCCTCACTGGCTGTAGTTTGTCCATTCATTGATTCATTCGTTCAGTAAATGCTTTTGGAGCGCCCCCTATGTGCTAGGCCAGGGTTTGGCAAATGACAGCCTGAGGTTCAATTCTGGCCACACCTATTACTTTATACATCCTCTGTGTTTGCCTTGTGCCACAATGCAGAGTTGAGTAGATGCGTCAGAGATGTTATAGAATGCAAAGCCAAGGCTGGGCACGGTGGCTCACGCTTGTCATCCCAGCACTTTGGGAGGCTGGGGTAGGCGGATCACCTGAGGTTGGGAGTTTGAGACCAGCCTGACCAACATGGAGAAACCCTGTCTCTACTAAAAATACAAAATTAGCCGGACGTGGTGGCGCATGCCTGCAATCCCAGCTACTTGGGAGGCTGAGGCAGGAGAATCGCTTGAACCCTGGAGGCGGAGGTTGTGGTGAGCCGAGATTGCACCACTGCACTCCAGCCTGGGCAACAAGAGTGAGACTCTGTCTCATTTAAAAAAAAAAAAAAAAAAAGAGTCATTTTTGGCTTTGCATTCTTTTTTTTTTTTTTTTTTTTTTTTTTTGAGACAGAGTCTTGCCCTGTTGCCCAGGCTGGAGTGTAGTGGCACGATCTTGGCTCACCGCAACCTCCGCCACCTGGGTTCAAGTGATTCTCCTGCCTCAGCCTCCCGAGTAACTGGGATTACAGGCACCTGCCACCACACTTGGCTAATTTTTGTATTTTTAGTAGAGACAGGGCTTCACCACATTGGCCAGGCTGGTTTCAAACCCCTAACCTCAAGTGATCCACCTGCCTCGGCCTCCTAAAGTGTTGGGATTACAGGCGTGAGCCACTGTGCTGGCCCAAAAATTACTCTTATATGGCTCTTTATAGAAAAATATTTGTCAACCTCTGTTCTAGACAGAGAACAGCAAGTGCAAAAGCTCTGGGAGGTCAGAATATGCCTGGCATGTTTGAGGAATGGCACAGAGGCCAGTGCGTTTGGAGTAGAACGAGTGAAGGGGAAAGTGGTAGGGCATGAGACCCTAGAGGGAATTGAGAGTTAGACCATGTAAGAACTTGTCCAGGGGGCTCAGTCTGAAAAAAATCTCAAAAAACCTCCCAATCTTAGGTTCTACAATAGTGATGTTTATATATTCTATGGGAACAATTAGGAAAGTCACAAATCTTGTGACCTCTGATCACGTGACTCCTGAGCAGTAAGGGATTATAGAAACTATGCTACATTTTAGCAGAGTTCTGGTTCCTCCCATAATCCTATTCTTACGGCTTTTTTTTTTTTTTTTTTTTTTTAAAGTGATGAGGTCTTGTTGCTGGGTGCGGTGGCTCACATCTGTAATCCCAGCACTCTGGGAGGCTGAGGTGGGCGGATTGCTCGAGGTCAGGAGTTTGAGAGATGAGGTCTCTCTATGTTGCCCCGGCTGGTCTGGACTCCTGAGCTCAAGCGGTCTTCCCACCTCAGCCTCCCAAAGTGTTGGGATTACAGGTGTGAGCACTCGCTGCACCTGGCCTTGTTAGTTTTACAAAGGTGGTTTTAGGTCTCTGAGCAAGAGGGATTAGTTTTATGGAGGGATGGTTATCATCCTTGCTTTCAAATTAAACTATAAACTATATTCCTCCCAAAGTTAGCTTGGTCTATACCCAGGAGTGAGCAAGGACAGGTTGGAAGTCAGAAGCAAGATGGAGTCAACTACGGCAAATTTTCTTACTCTCATAATTTTGTGAAGGTGGTTTCAATTATCAGTGGTATTGTTGTATTTGCTTTTAATTTGGTCTTGAGGTCTCTCTCCAGAGAGATCTAGCTCTGCCTTGCCTGGAATCCAAGGGCTTTGGTCATGGACTTTTTCAGTGTGCCTTTCGTGGAGTTCTTCTTTATCCTGCTGGACAGCCTAATGCCTGTGTCTGACTTGTGCCTAGGTGTCTCTCCCACAGTAAACTTGTTTAAACTGGCAGACGCCCTGTGGCTCATCTGACCTGTGTCCAGGTTATTCCCACCAAGATAGCCACTCTTTTTTTAGACAGAGTATCGCTTTGTCACCCAGGCTGGAGTGCAGTGGCATGGTCCCAGCTCACTGCAACCTCCTTCTCCTGGGTTCAAGTGATTCTTGTGCCTCAGCCTCCTGAGTAGCTGGGACTACAGGTGCATGCCATCACACCCAGCTAATTTTTGTATTTTTAGGAGAGATGGTGTTTCACCATGTTGCCTGAGCTGGTCTTGAACTCCTGACCTCAAATGATCCAGCCGTCTCAGCCTCCCAAAGCGTTGGGATTACAGGCATGAGCCACTGCGCCCGGCCTAAGATAGCCACTCTCTCTCTCTCTTTTTTTTTTTTTTTTTGGAGACAGAGTCTTTTTTTTTTTTTTTTTTTGAGACGGAGTCTCGCTCTGTCGCCCAGGCTGGAGTGCAGTGGCGGGATCTCGGCTCACTGCAAGCTCCGCCTCCCGGGTCCACGCCATTCTCCTGCCTCAGCCTCCCAAGTAGCTGGGACTACAGGCGCCCGCCACCACGCCCGGTTAATTTTTTGTATTTTTAGTAGAGACGGGGTTTCACCATGTTAGCCGGGATGGTCTCGATCTCCTGACCTCGTGATCCGCCCGCCTCGGCCTCCCAAAGTGCTGGGACTACAGGCGTGAGCCACCGCGCCCGGCCTGGAGACAGAGTCTTACTCTGTTGCCCAGGTTGGTGTGATCTTGGTTCACTGCAACCTCCACCTCCCAGGTTCAAGTGATTCTCCTGCCTCAGCCTCCTAAGTAGCTGGGATTACAGCCGTGCGCCACCACGCCCAGCTAATTTTTTTTTTTTTTTTTTGAGATGGAGTTTCGCCCTTGTTGCCCAGGCTGGAGTGTGGTGGCATGATCTTGGCTCACTGCAATCTCCGCCTCTGGGGTTCAGGCAGTTCTCCTGCCTCAGCCTCCCGAGTAGCTGGGATTACAGGCATGTGCCACCACGCCCGGCTAATTTTGTATTTTTAGTAGAGATGGGGTTTCTCCATGTTGGTCAGGCTGGTCTTGAACTCCCGATCTCAGGTGATCCACCTACCTCGGCTTCCCAAAGTGCTGGGATTATAGGCGTGAACCACCATGCCCGGCAATTTTTGTATTTTTAGTAGAGATGAGGTTTTCCCATGTTGGCCAGTCTGGTCTTGAACTCCTGACCTCAAGTGATCCACCCGTCTCAGCCTCTCAAAGTGCTGGGATTACAGGCATGAGCCACCACTCCTGGCCTGAGAGTCACTCTCTAAGAGAGACCTGACCAAGACAGGAATTGGCTTCAGGTGTGTTGGTCAAGTGAAACACAGACACAGGCAGCACAACAAAACATACGAAATAACAGAAGCCTTTCCTGACAGATCCACTGGAGAAAAGGGTGCCCATGAGGGTGGATAGGAAGCCTGGAGACAGCATGGAGTTCAACCAGCAGGTGGGTGGGAGCGAGGAGAGAGAGATCAAGAGAGGAGACCTGTGCACCAAAGCCTTTTTTGGGGTCAAGAGTGTTAAGCCAGGCAGATTTCTCATGGGGAGTTCTAATTGGTGGGTTTACAATAAGCAGGCATGAGTTCCGTGGAGTCACACAGTGACTGAGGGGTGGTCACTGTGGTATATCTGCACAGTCCATGGTGGGTGTGCAGGTTGATGGGGTGATTAAAGTAGGCTGTAGGTAGCTGTCCCATAGTGGGGTGGTCACCAGGAGGCATTGTCTAAGGCAGATTTCTGGATCAATCACATTGAGGAACTGGGAGGAGGTAGAGAACTGAAACTGTCAAGGGTTTAACATGCCTCTGGCCTTAGAAAGTTAAAACTATGTTCAAAATGGATGCCAAGGCAACATAAAATTATAGACATCCACTACATTTATTTATTTATTAATTTATTTTGAGACAGGGTTTCGTTCTTGTTGCCCAGGCTGGAGTGCAATGGCGTGATCTCAGCTCACTGCAACCTCTGCCTCCTGGGTTCAAGTGATTCTCCTGCCTAAGCCTCCCGAGTAGCTGGGATTACAGGCGCCCACTACCACGCCTGGTTAATTTTTGTATTTTTAGTAGAGACGGAGTTTCACCATGCTGGCCAGGCTTGTCTTGAACTCCTGACCTCAGGTGATCCACCCGCCTTGGCCTCCCAAAGTGTTGGGATTACAGGCGTGAGCCACTGCACCTGGCCCACTGCAGTTATTTATTCATTTATTTGTTAACAGAGTCTTCCTTTTGGATCTAGTGGAGAGGGCAGATATAAGACCCAATCATTATCCATAAAAGCAGTATATAATTAGACTAGTGAGGAATGAATGAGGAATTCTGAGTGATTGGCTCACAAGAAGCTTCATGGAAGGATAATGAGGGATTGAGTGTGGAGGTATATTTTGGGAGAAAAAGGCTGGAAAGGCAAGTTGGGGTAAGAATTTGGTGGGCCTTGAGTGTCTTGCAAGGAGTTTGGGCTTTGTGGTAGGTGGAGAGGTGATAAGAATGGTATGAATACACTTGAGGATGACCAAGATAACTTGAGTGGCAGAGTAAAGATTAGATGGGATGTGGAGAAGTCAGTTTGGAATGGAGAATGGTTGAGTAGTTCAGGCAAGATATGATGGCCTACTTCCCCTGTTTATGTTTTATTTTTTAATACAAAAAATTTTTTGAGATGGAGTTTGGCTCTTGTTGCCCAGGCTGGAGTGCAATGGCGTGACCTTGGCTCACTACAATTACCGCCTCCCGGGTTCAAGCGATTCTCTTGCCTCAGCCTCTTGAGTAGCTGGGATTACAGACGTCCACCACCACGCCTGGCTAATTTTTGCATTTTTAGTAGAGACAGCATTTCATCATGTTGGCCAGGCTGGTCTTGAACTCCTGACCTCAGGTGATCTGCCTGCTGGCCTCCCAAAGTGCTGGGATTACAGGCGTGAGCCACTGTGCCTGGCCTCCCTGTTTATTAATTATTTGACGTTATGCCAAATCCTGGTTCCTTAGGTGCTAGGAGTTTTTCATAAGCTCTTTGACTTTTGACTTTTCAGTAACAAATAAATGAGGTTTAAAATCACAAGAGAGGCTGGGTGTGGTGGTTCAGGCCTGTAATCCCAGCACTTTGGGAGGCCAAGGTGGGAGTATCACCTGAGGCCAGGAGTTCGAGACCAGCCTGACCAACATGGTGAAACCTCTTCTCTAATAAAAATACAAAAAAATTTAGCCGGGCGTGGTGGCACCTGCCTTTCGTCCCAGCTACTCAGGAGGCTGAGGCAGGAGAATCACTTGAGCCCAGGAGGCGGAGGCTGCAGTGAGCCGAGATCATACCAATGGACTCCAGCCTGGGTGACAGAGTGAGACTCTGTCTCAAAAAAAAAAAAAAAAAAAAATTACAAGAGAGTCTTATTTACTGGGTATGTCAGGCATTGCCTTAAAGTAGTATTCAGTTAATTACTTTTTTTTTTCTTGAGTCTTGCTCTGTTGCCTAGGGTAAGTGCGATGGCACTCACCACTACACTCACTGCAGCCTCGACCTTCCAGGCTCAAGTGATCCTCCTACCTCAGCCTCCTGAGTAGCTGGGAGTTCAGGGACACACCACCATGCCCAGCTAACTTTTTTATTGTTTGTAGAGATGAGGTCTTGCTGTGTTCTTCAGGCTAGTCTTGAACTCCTGGACTCAAGCAACCTTCCCACCTTGGCCTCCCAAAGTGCTGGGCTTAATGGCATGAGCCACCACGCCTGGCCAGTTAATTCTTACAATGAGCCTAGAAGGTGGGTACTCTCAAGAGCTCCCCTTCATAGATAATTATGCAGAAGCTGCAAGGAGTTGTGACTTACTCAAGGTGTTCAGAGGCTGGGTTCTTTTTTTTTTTTTTTTTGAGACGGAGTCTCGCTCTGTCTCCCAGGCTGGAGTGCAGTGGCACGATTTCAGCTCACTGCAAGCTATGCCTCCCGGGTTCACGCCATTTTCCTACCTCAGCCTCCCGAGTAGCTGGGACTACAGGCGCCCCCCATCACGCCTGGCTAATTTGTTTGTATTTTTAGTAGAGACGGGGTTTCACCGTGTTAGCCAGGATGGTCTCGATCTTCTGACCTCATGATTTGCCTGCCTCAGCCTCCCAAAGTGCTGGGATTACAGGCGTGAGCCTCCGTGCCCGGCAAGGCTGGGTTCTTTACCCACGGTCTCTTCATACTGCCTTCCTAATGTGGGCTTCTCTGGATGCCCACAGGAAGGGTCCCTGGATCACTCTCATGATCTTGACTGAAGAAGGAAGCTGTGTAAGGAGCTTAAGTCACTCAGTCTAATTTAAGGTCGGTTTCTGGATCTGATTAGGGACCTGTGTCTCGGTGGAAACAAAGTAGAGGGTGAGTCTGTTGCCCCTTTCAGCAGAAAATACTCCAGGCTGAGGGTGTAGAGAGCAAGGAGAAAGGGTAGGGTTAAGTGGGGGCCACCTAGAATGTTGGAAGTAGGGTGTGCAGAATTCCTCTGGGAGCTGATAGGCAGGGGAGCATTTGTTAAAGCCTGGCACTGGGTGAGGAGATAATAATAATGATAATAATACTAATGCTAATAATGGAGGATAATAGCATCTGCCACTCTTGAGTTCTTACTGTGTAGGTGGCACCTTGCTAAGCATTTTACATGATTTATCTCATTTCCCACCACTCCATCAAGCAGGTATTGCTGTTATCCCCTTTGTGTATGGACGAGATCATGAGGTTCAGAGAGATTTAGCAGCTTGCCTATGGTCACCCAGTTCATAAGTGGCCATGCCAGGACTCAAACCTGGGCTGATTGGACTCCAGAGTTCATGATCTCCGTCAGTACACTCTCCTGTCCAGAAAGAATCCTTGCCTAGGTGCAGTGGCTCAACGCCTGTAATCCCAGCACTTTGGGAGACCGAGGTGGGAAGATTGAGTCCAGGAGTTCAAGACCAACTTGAGCAACATAGAGAGACCCTGTCACTACAAAATTGATACAAAACAATATTAGCCAGACATGGTGGTTTGTGCCTATGGTCCCAGCTACTTGGGAGGCTGAGGTGGGAGGATTGCCTGAGCCCAGGAGGTTGAGGCTGCGGTGAGCTGTGATTGCACCACTGTACTCCAGCCTGAGTGGCAGAGTAAACCCCTGTCTCAACAACAACAACAACAGCAAGAAAAACAATGATAACACCCAAAAATAATCCTTGGCTTATTAAAATATTGGCATAATAAAATGGGGACAGGGAAATTTTCATAAAATAAAGAGAAATATCAAGGAAATAAAGAGCATGCTAGAAAGCAAGGTTTTAATTTATTCTTTTAATTTATTATTTTCCAGCTTTATTGAGGTGTAATTGACAAATAATTGTATCTATTCAAGGTGTACAACTTGATGATTTGATATATGTGTACTGTGTAATGATTACCACAATCAATCAACATATCCATCACCTCAGATAGTTACCCTTTTGTGTGTGTGTGGTGAGGACACTTAAGATCTGCTCTCTCAGCAAATTTCAAGTAAACAATACAGTA
Source organism: Homo sapiens (assembly GCF_000001405.40). Classification (NCBI taxonomy): domain Eukaryota; kingdom Metazoa; phylum Chordata; class Mammalia; order Primates; family Hominidae; genus Homo; species Homo sapiens. Next base: position 77,812,191 of record NC_000014.9, read on the forward strand.
GTATTAACTAGAGTTTCCATGTTGTACATTAGAGTCCCCAGAACTTATTCATCTTGTAACTGAAACTTTGTACCCTTTGACCAATATCGCCTAATTTCCCTCCAACCCCCAGCCCCTGGTAACCACCGTTCTAACCTCTGCCTCTAAGAGTTTGACTTCTTTAGATTCCACCTAAGAGTGAGATCATGCAGTATTTGTCTTTCTGTGTCTGGCTTATTTCACTTAGCAAAATGTTCTCTAGGTTCATCCATGTTGTCACCAATGGCAGGCTTCCTTCCTTTTTATGGCTGGATAATATTCCATAGTGTGTGTGTGTATATATATATATTTCACAATTTCTTCATCCATTTGTGGATGGACACTTAGGTTGTTTCTACATCTTGGCTATTGTGCATACTACTGCATATTCTTTTTTTTGAGACAGAGTTTCATTCTTTTGACCAGGCTGGAGTGCAGTAGCGTGATCTTAGCTCACTGCAACTTCTGCCTCCTGGGTTCAAGCAATTCTCGTGCTTTAGCCACCTGAGTAGCTGGAATTACAGGAGTGAGCCACCATGCCTGGCTAGTTTTTGTATTTTTAGTAGAGATAGGGTTTTGCCATGTTGGCCAGGCTAGTCTCGAACTCCTGGGCTCAAGTGATCTGCCCGCCTCGGCCTCCCAAAGTGCTGGGGTTACAGATATGAGTCACCATGCCCGGCTGCATATTCTTTTTATTTACAAAGTCACAATCTCATTCTTGCAGAGGTAGGAACTGATCCCAGGAGTTGGGAGAGATTGAGCATTTCTGTTTAGGGAAAGAAATAAGTGAGTTTCTTAAAATTTTTTTTTTGAGGCGAAGTTTCACTCTTGTTGCCCAGGCTGGAGTGCAATGGTGTGATCTTAGCTCACTGCAACCTCCACCTCCCGGGTTCAAGCAATTTTCCTGCCTCAGCCTCCTTAGTAGCTGGGATTATAGGCATGCGCCACCATGCCTGGCTAATTTTGTATTTTTACTAGAGACTGGGTTTCTCCGTGTTGGTCAGTCTGGTCTTGAACTCCCGACCTCAGGTGATCCACCTGCCTCGGCCTCCCAAAGTACTGGGATTATAGGCGTGAGCCACTGTGCTGGCCTTTTATTTTATTATTATTATTTTTTTGGAGATGGAGTTGTGTTCTTGTTGCCCAGGCTGGAGTGCAATGGCATGGTCTCAGCTCACTGCAACCTCCGTCTCCTGGGTTCAAGCAATTCTCCTGCCTCAGCCTTCCGAGTGGCTGGGACTATAGGCGTGCATCACTACGCCCAGCTAATTTTTGTATTTTTAGTAGAGATGGGGTTTCACCATGTTGGCCAGGCTGGTCTCAAACTCCTGACCTTGTGATCTGCCCGCCTTGGCGTCCCAAAGTGCTGGGATTACAGGCATGAGCCACGTGCCCAGCCTGAGTTTCTTAAATTATTTCCTTAAAAATCGTTGCTTGCAGTTACCCTTGTAGAGTGAATACAGTCCTCTGGTGTTGGGGAAGGGGAGGCATGTTTTTGGGGAATATTCACTGATGAAGTTGAACACTAAATTTCAGCAAAGCCTCTCTTTGTTTTCCTGTTTTTTTTTTGTTTTTTTTTTGAGGAGTCTCATGCTGTCACCCACGCTGTAGTGCGCAGTGGTGCAATCTCGGCTCACTGCAACCTCTACCTCCTGTTCAAGTGGTTTTCCTGCCACAGCCTCTTGAGTAGCTGAAACTAAAGATGCATGCCACAACACCCGGCTAACTTTTGTATTTTTAGTAGAGACAGGGTTTTGCCATGTTGGCAAGGCTGGTCTCAAACTCCTGACCTCAGGTGATCCGCCTGCCTCGGCCTCCCAAAGTGCTGGGATTACAGGTGTGAGCCACCACGCCGAGCCTTATTTTTTTTTTTAAATTTTATTTTTCTGAGACAGGGTCTCACTCTGTCATTGAGGCTGGGGTGCAGTGGCGCAATCTCAGCTCACTGCAACCTTTGCCTCCCAGGCTCAAGTGATCCTCCCACCTCAGCCTCCCAAGTAGCTAGGACAACAGGTGCATGCCACCACACCCAGCTGATTTTTGTATTTTTTGTAGCGATGGGGTTTCGCTATGTTGCCTAGGCTGGTCTTGAACTTCTGGGCTCAAATGATCCTCACATCTTGGCTTCCCAAAGTGCTGGGATTACAGGTGTGAGCCACTGCACCTGACCCCTTTTTTTTTCTGACCCATTGGTAGACAATGAAGCCTCTCTTTACTGAAAAAAAAAACAAAAAACAAAAATCCTTTCTGAGCATGGTAGCTCACATCTGTAATCTCAGCACTTTGGGAGGCCAAGGTGGGTGGATCGCTTGAGCTCAGGAGTTGGAGACCAGCCTGAGCAAATGGCGAAACCCCATCTTTACAACAAAAATTAGCCCACTCCGGAGGCTGAGATGGGAGGATTGCTTGAACCCAGGAGGTCAAGGCTGCAGTAAGTTGAGATTGTGCCATTGCATTCCAGCCTGGGTGACAGAGCAAGACACTCTCAAAAAAAAAAAAAAAAAAAAAAAAGAAGAAAAATAGAAGTGTGGCTCTCAAACTTGAGCTTTCAGACAAATCACTTGTTATCTTATTAAAATGCACATTCTTGAATCTTACCCCTAGAGTTGGTAGTTCGGTGGCCCATGGGGTGGACTCTAGGAATCTACATTTATTTATTTTATTTTACTAAAAAAATTAAAAAAAAATTTTTTTTTTTTTGAGAAGGAGTCTCTGTCGCCCAGGCTGGAGTGCAGTGGCACCATCTCAGCTCACTGCAACTTCTACCACCTGGGTTCAAGCAATTCTCTTGCATCAGCCTCCCGAGTAGCTGGGATTACAGAGGCACGTGACACCACGCCCAGCTAATTTTTTTTTTTTTTTTTAGTAGAGACGGGGTTTCACCATGTTGGTTAGGCTGGTCTGGCATTCTTGACCTTCCTGCCTTGGCCTCCCACCAAGCCTGGCCCAGGAATCTACATTTTAAAAAATGTTTTAAAATTTTGTTTTGTCTTTTTTTTTTTTTTTTTTCTTTAAAACAGGGTTTTACTGTGTTGCCCAGGCTAGAATGCAGTGGCGTGATCATGGCTCATTTCAGCCTCGAGACCTCCTAGGCTCAAGGGATCCTCCCACTTCAGCATTTTGAGTAGCTGGGACTTATAGGCGTAGGCTATCACTCCAGGCTAATGTTTAAATTTTTTGTAGAGATGGGGTCTCCCTTTTTTCTTCCCCAGGCTGGTCTTGAACTCCTAGGCCCAAACAGTCCTCCCATTGTGGCCTCCGGAAGTGCTGGGATTATAGGCATGAGTCACTGCCCCCAGCCAGGCACCTGCATTTTTTTTTTTTTTTTTGAGATGGAGTCTCTTTCTGTGGCCCAGACTGGAGTGCAGTGGCATAATCTCAGTTCACTGCAACCTCCGCCTCCTGGGTTAAGTGATTCTCCTGCCCCTGCCTCCCGAGTAGCTGGGACTACAGGTGCACACCACCATGCCTGGCTAATTTTTGTATTTTTAGTAGAGACAAGGTTTCAGCATATTGGCCAGGCTGGTCTTGAACTCGTGACCTCGTGATCTGCCTGCCTTGGCCTCCCAAAGTGTTGGGATTACAGGTGTGAGCCACCGCACCTGGCTTTTTTTTTTTTTTTTTTGAGATGGAGTCTCGTTCTGTTGCCCAAGCTGGAGTGCAGTGGTGCGATCTCAGCTCACTGCGACCTCCACCTCCTGGGTTCAAGTGATTCTCATGTCTTAGCCTCCCAAGTAGCTGGGACTACAGGTGTGTACTACCACACCCAGCTAATGTTAATAGAGATGGGGTTTCACCATGTTGGCCAGGCTGGTCTGGAACTCCTAACCTCAAGAGATCCGCCTGCCTGGTCCTCCCAGAGTGCTGGAATTACAGGCGTGAGCTACCTCTCTTGGCCCAGGAATCTGCATTTTTGAAATGGCATCCAGGCTAATATTTTTTCAGGTGTTCCTCTGATTATACTTTAGAAATACTAGATTAGGAAATGAAGGTTCCAAAGGGAAGAGCAATGGAATTATAAAAAAGGACTATTGTGGTGTTATTATATATATTGGTTTTTGTCTGCTGTTCTTGGTTCATAACTCCCACAGCCCTTGTTACGGTTTTTTTTGGTGTGTGTTAGGCCTCAGGGCCAGGCCTTAGGAATCAGAATCTCTTTCCTGCCCTCCTCTCACCTGCCCCAAGGCAGGATCGTGGTCTTTCCCCACCTTTCTGATTGTGGATCTTAACCCTCCCTAGAGTAGGTTCTGCCCTATACACTGAGGGAAGGAATGCTGATATCATGAAGCTTCCATAAAAACCCAAGAACCCAAGAGGGCTGATAGCTGAGCACTTGGAGATTTGCGGAGTGTGGTGCGCCTAGGGAAGTCCTGGAAGCTTCACGCCCTTTCGCTGTTAACTGACCCTGCACATCTGTTAATCAGTATTTTTTGCAGTCTCCTTTATAATAAGCCAGCAAACGTAAGTGTGTACCTGAGTTCTGTGAGTTGCTGCAGCAGCTTGATCGAACCCAAAGAAGGGGTTGTGGGAACCCCAGCTTGAAGCTGGTTGGTCAGAAGTTCCAGAGACCTGGACTTGTGACTGATGTTGTGGGGGGAAGTGGGGGATGCAGTCTTGGGGACTGGGCCCTCAACCCATGGGATCTGACACCATCTCCAGGTAGTAGATGGTAAATATATATATATATATATATATTTAAAAAATGTGGCTATATTATAAGGCATAAGTCAAAGTAGACTTTAAAGAAAATGAGTAGGGCGTGGTGGCTCACACCTGTAATCCCAGCACTTTGGGAGGCTGAGGCAGGCGGATCGCCTGAGGTCAGGAGTTTGAGACCAGGCTAGGCAACATGGCAAAACCCTGTCTTTACTAAAAATACAAAAATTAGCTGGGCATGGTGGTGGCCACCTGTAATCCCAGCTACTCGGGAGGCTGAGGCAGGAGAAACGCTCCAACCTGGCAGGCGGAGGTTGCAGTGAGCCGAGATCGCGGCACTGCACTCCCGCCTGGGCGACAGAGCAAGACCCTGTTTCAGAGACAAATAAAATGAAGATAAGCTTGTTTGTAATAATAGTTTCCATACAAAGGGGAAACAGGCACAGAGCAGGGAGGTGACAGGCACAGACTCATTCCAGAGCAGAGGGATGAGGGTACAAGGCGTGCAAGGCTGGTGCCTGCAAGTGGCTTGGTGGCGTGCTGCTGCTCTCGTGTGGCACTTCTCTCCTGGCAGCTGCAGCTGTGGTCATGGACTTTAGTCTGACATAAATTGCTCAGGAATTGAAGGGGAAGCACTCTGTTGGGTGCACTGGCCGCAAAGAGTGACTGTGCAGCCACCTGGTGGACTGAGCAGGTACAAGTAGGGTGGGGAAAGGTCACATTGACCAGGAGTATGAATTTGAACAGATCAAATCAGCAGGTAGGCATTAAGCCTCTAACTGTAAAAAACTCCACAGGACTGTGAGTGGGCAGAGTAGTGACAGTCATAGTGTCTGCCCTCAAGGAGCCTCCATTCAAGACAAGGGGTAGTCTTCTTTTTTTTTTTTTTGAGACGGAGTCTCGCTCTGTCACCCAGGCTGGAGTGCAGTGGCGCAATCTCGGCTTACTGCAAGCTCCGCCTTCCGGGTTCACGCCATTCTCCTGCCTTAGCCTCCCGAGTAGCTGGGACTACAGGCGCCCGCCACCACGCCTGGCTAATTTTTTGTTTTTTTTTTAGTAGAGACGGGGTTTCATCGTGTTAGCCAGGATGGTCTTGATCTCCTGACCTTGTGATCTGCCCGCCTTGGCCTCCCAAAGTGCTGGGATTACAGGCGTGAGCCACCACGCTGGGCCTCAAGGGGTAGTCTTCTCTAACCAAAGTAAATGTTTTGAAAATCAACCATACACAGAGGGCTCACCTGGCTGCTCCTGAGTAGCCGCCATTTTGGCTGTGGCCTGACCACTTTTGACCTGAGTGTAGTGGGCTAGTGATGCCTGTATGTGCATTGTGGTATCATGATAGACACAGTAGCAATGGTTAACCTGCTCTTCTGCTTTGCTTCTAAAATAACATTCTTCCTCTCTCCTGATCCCTTAGCCCTCTCTGCTTTTTTTTGAGACAGGGTCTGGCTCTGTCACCCAGGCTGGAGTGTGGTGGCACGATCTCAGCTCACTGCAGTCTCCTCCTCCCGGGCTCAAACCATCCTCCCACCTCAGCCTCCTGAGTAGCTGGGACCACAGGCACGTGCCATGATGCCTGGCTAATTTTTGTATTTTTCGTAGAGACGGGGTTTCGTCTTGTTGCCCAGGCTGGTCTGGAACTCCTGGACTCGAGTGATCTGCACACCTTGGCCTCCTAAAGTGTTGGTATTACAGACATAAGCCACCATGCTCAGCCTCTCTCTGCTTTTCTTGTCAGCATTTATACCAGCTCTGATATTCTATAGTGATCTATCTGTGTAAGCTCCAAGTGGGCAAGAACTTTGTTTTGTTCACTGTCTTTCCCCATGTCTAGAACAGTGCCTGGCACTGTTGAAGGAAGGACTTTGAGGACTGACTTGCCCCAGGTACTATGCTAAGGATTTTATGTACATTATTTCATTTTATCCCAACTACTTTTGAGGTAGGTATTATCCTGTTTTACAAACGAAGAAACTAAGGCTCAGTGAGATTAATGATCCAAGGTCATATAATCTAAGTGGTAGAGCTGGGATTTGAACTTCAGTTTGACTAACTATGAAACTTTTAACTGCTATTCTTTCTCAACTTTCCTTTTTTCTGCAGGATCTGGCGACATGGCCAGAAAGGCTCTCAAGCTTGCTTCGTGGACCAGCATGGCTCTTGCTGCCTCTGGCATCTACTTCTACAGTAACAAGTACTTGGACCCTAATGACTTTGGCGCTGTCAGGGTGGGCAGAGCAGTTGCTACGGTAGGTTTTTCCCTTTTGGGGGTAGCAGAGAAGCTGCAGGATTACTTGCAGGTGTTCATACATGTAGCAGATAGACATGCCTGCTATGCATATGTGGAGATACTTGTGTATCCTTACATGTGCAAAAGCTACATCTGCACAGGTGTACACATATGGATGTGTGTCCTCATATTCCTTTATTCCTGAACACACAACCTCATATTCCTTTATTCCTGTACCTCAGGGGTTCCTGTGATCCTGAGGTAACATAGAATGGGACTGCACTGGGTCTGTGTTCTGAAGCCTTTACATTTTAGGTTCTGTATCTTATTTTAACAACACACCAAGAGGGGCCGTGCTCTTCAGTAAATGCATGTGCAAGGAGGACTTTACAGTTTTGATTAAATTCTACTAGAAAACTCAATCCCTCTCCAGTGAGCTAGGATGAATGGTTCCTGATGCAGGACTCATACCCAGATGGTCTAGCCCTCAGACAACTTTGAGGGATCCCCTCCAGTCTCCAAACTGACAGAGAACCTGAGTTGAATATTTTATGTTTAGAGGTTTTCTCCAGTGGCTCAACAGGAACGTCATCCTGGTGTGATCAGGTCCTCTTAATTCTGCTGACAACAACTCTCCCAGACATTCCTATAGAATTGTCCCATTGGTGGGTAGATGGCCACATGCCTCATGCTTGCTTTCCTCCTTTATCTGCTGCAGGATGAGCTCAAGCTTTCTTCCCCTTCACGTAGATTCAATCTGATGCACAGTCTATTGTGGTTGTCATCTCACCATCTCCCTAATACTCAGTGTTGTCAGGTGTCTTTTGAGCCCTGGCTCACAGGGGAGGGCACTGATGTGCCTGTCTTCAAGGCTGAGCTGAGTCGTAGAACCAATACTGACAGATAGACTTTGGATAATCAGGCTACGGAACATAAAACAATTCCCAAGTGTTTACCGAATGCCTTTTTTTGGTCGAGCATTGTCTTACATGCTTTGAGGGGCAGAAACAAACTGTCCCACCTAGACCCAGCTACGAAGTAGCTTCTGGTTGAGGAATGCCTACATGAATAGGTTAAAAAACAATCTAAATCCATGCATTGTGCCAAGGTGGGTGATTCAGATGCCCGCTACTATGTTCAGACACTAGAGTGAGTGCTGTGGCCTGGGAGTCAGGATTGGTATCCTAGGGGTAGCAGGTTTTATTTTATGATATATATATATATATGTATATTTTTTTAAATCTTTATTTTTTTGAGACAGGGTCTTGCTCTGTTGTCCAGGCTGGGATGCAGTGGTGTGATACCCACTTACTGCAACCTCCACCTCCTGGGATCAAGAGATCCTCGTGCCTCAGATTCTCGAGTAGCTGGGACCACAGATGCCTGACACCACACCTGGCCAATTTCTCTATTTTTTTGTAGAGATAGGGTTTCGCTATGTTGCCCAGGATTGTCTTAAACTCCTGGGCTCAAGCAATCTGCCCACCTTGGTCTCCCAAAGTGTTGGGATTATGGGTGTGAGCCATTGTGCCAGGCCAATTTTACGTGTGTGTGTGTGTGTGTGTGTGTGTGTGTATACACACATATATGGTTGAGTAATGCCTACAGTAATAGGTTAAAAAACAATCCAAATCCATGCATCCAAATCCATATATATATATATTTATTATTATTATTTTTTTGAGACAGAATCTTGCTCTGTCATCCAGGCTGGAGTGCAGTGGTGTGATCTCATCTCAGCTCACTGCAGCCTTCACCTCCTGGGTCCAAGTGAGCACATCTGGCTAATTTCTGTATTTTTAGTAGAGATGGGGTTATACCATGTTGGCCAGGCTGGTCTCGAACTCCTGACCTCAAGTGATCTGCCTGGCTTGGCCTCCCAAAGTGGTGGGATTACAGGTGTGAGCCACCACACCCGGCCTGTATATATATATTTTTAGACTAGTCAAGTGCAATAGTGAGAAGGGGAGAAAGAGTAGAGCAAGGAGTTTGATCTGTGACTGACTGTGAACAATCAATTGAGATAACTCAATACCTTCAGGCCAGCCAGAAGCAGGTTTTAAATGGAATCTTAGAGATTTGAATAGTTGGAAAGGAGGGAGGCAGATATGGATCAGGAATGGAATCTTAGAGATTTGAATAGTTGGAAAGGAGGAGGAAGATACGCTTTATAAACAGCCACAAAGCTGTCCATTTTTTAAAGGCCAGAGCTCTGGTCTGGATTGTCTTTGAACACTACTCAGTGACCAAGTCTTGCTTGTGGTTGGTGTCCAGCAAGCATATGTCGAATAGGATAAAGCTTTGTAGAGTGCAAAGGAAGAAACTCTTCTTAATATCAACTTTGTAAGTCCCTGAACTTCTAGGGTCCCAGTTACTCAATTCTATAAAGGAAGGTTTGGGGTAGATAATCCCTAAGGCCCTTCCATGCCTAGGATATCGTGGAGATTGGAATTTTCTGATTCACTCTGGATAAGGGAACACAGAATCAAGACTTATGCTATTAGGGCCAGGCGCGGTGGCTCATGCCTGTAATCCCAGCACTTTGGGAGGCTGAGGTGGAAGGATCGCCTGAGGTCAGGAGTTCGAGACCAGCCTGGTCAACATGGCGAAATCCCATCTCTACTAAAAATACAAAAATTAGCCGAGTGTGGTGGCATGTGTGTATAATCCCAGCTACTTGGGAGGCTGAGGCAGGAGAATTGCTTGAACCTGGAAGGCCGAGCCTGCAGTGAGCCAAGATCACCGAGATCATGCCAGTGCACTCCAGCCTGAGTGACAGAGCAAGACTCTGTCTCAGAAAAAAAAAAAAAAAAAAGACTTATGCTATTAGAGCAAACATACATATAAAATAATGTTTATTTGTGATGTGGAGAAGTGGGCTAAGTTTATGTAACAACTTTATTCAAGTAGCTTTGATTGAGCATTTACTCAATGTGCCTGGCAGTGTAAAAGGTGCTGTGGTAAGTGATGGACAGGAAGGACAAGCCCCCGTGCTTCTAGAGCTTAGAGTTTAAGCTTATAGGAAGAGACAGTTCATAAACAAGGAGACAAATGAGCAAGGTAATGTTGGATGGTAGTTTGTTATGATAAATAATTGAATGTTTCAGGTAAGAGGGGCAATTTTGGCGTGGGCCCCTGCAGAGGTGGCATTTGCACAGAGTCCTGAATAACAGGAGGAAGCTAGCTAGAATAAGATCCAGGGGCCAGGCATCTTAGGGGTGGGACTGGCCACTCCCCCAGACATAGCAGCTGTGTCAGGGACCTGTACTGCAAGGTTTGGGCAGAGTAGTAGTACTTAATGTCCAGGTGCTAAGCTTTTCTCCACTGCCTTGGTTCACAGACGGCTGTCATCAGTTACGACTACCTCACTTCCCTGAAGAGTGTCCCTTATGGCTCAGAGGAGTACTTGCAGCTGAGATCTAAGGTAAGTAACCCATGGGACCCATCTGAGCCAGGCCAGGACTGGATAACCCTTGAACTGCTATGCTCTAGTGATCCTCCCACCTCACCCCCGCAAAGTGCTGGGATTAAAGGCATGAGCCACTGTGCCCGGCCTAGGATTGGATAAATCCTGAAGCAGCTGCCTAGCCACGAAGCTTCCTGTGTACAGCTGGAATTGGGCAGAGGGCAGTGTAGGGGATTGAGGCTGGGGGCATTGGCCACTGAGGGTTTGGAAGGAAGGAGAGGAGGACCACTTCCTCCTTCACACAGAGGTTTCAGTGCTTCTGAGGGGTGCTGTCAGACTGTCATCAAGCTGGATGCCATGGTACTGAGGTTATCAATTTGCAAGGTGCTGTGGGAGAGGCCAGTGTGTGTTTCTGGGGAGTACAAGGGTCTGGGATGACTCAGGAGGGATGTAGGCTCTGTCCCGCAGATAACTCAGCTGGCTTCTAAACTGTTTTGTCAGGCAAAACCCAGTTGAAAGAGGTTACTTGCTGTCCTATCCTCTGAGGCCTACTCTGGGGCCTCTCGTAGGCCTCTGAGTTGAGCTGTCAACCCCAAACTCTCTGTCGTCACTTGGAACAGGGTAGTTGATGTTGATATGTGTTTAGATATCCCGGAGACTTGGGAGATCAAACAAGAGGGCATTTTTTGTGGATGTAGGTTGAGTTTGAGGTCAAGTGTAGATACCTTTGGCTCCTCCAGAGAGAGGTTTGTGATAGATTGGCATGTCTGTGCTCAGGCAGTCCTCTCAGCCAGGAATGCAAAGGAACCCCTTTGCCCCTTAGAAAAGTCCTCGTCATCCTTCTGGACTCGGCTCAAGCTCTCCTCTGTGATGCTTTTCTTCTCAGTTTTCCTATGTGGATGGAATAATTAATTTCTAAATTTTTATTTAAACTTTTTATTATGACAATTTCAACCATCCACAAGAGTAGAGAGAACAGTAGAATGAACTCTGGTGGAACTGTCATATAGCTTCAGAAACTATCAACATTTTGCCCATCTTGTTAGTCATCTTTCCCCCCTTTATTTATTTATTTATTTATTTATTTATTTATTTATTTATTTATTCCATCACCCGGTCTGGGGTGCAGTGGTGTGATCTCGGCTCATTGCAACCTCCGTTTCCTGGATTCAAGTGATTCTCCTGCCTCAGCCTCCTGAGTGGCTGGGATTACATATGCACACCATCACACTTGGCTGATTTTTGTGTTTTTAGTAGAAGCAGGGTTTAGCATGTTGTCCAGGCTGTCCTTGAACTCCTGACTTCAAGTAATCCACCTGCCTTGGCCTCCCAAAGTGCTGGGATTACAGGTGTGAGCCACTGTGCCAGGCCTGTTTCATTTATTTTTTTATTCATTCATTTATTTGTTTATTTTTTGAGACAGAGTCTTACTCTTTGGCCCAGGCTGGAGTGAAGTGGTGTGATCTTGGTTCACTGCAACCTCCATCTCCCAGGTTTAAGTGCTTCTCCTGCCTCAGCCTCCCAAGTAGCTGGAATTACAGGTGCAGGCCACCACGCCTGGCTAATTTTTGTGTTTTTAGTAGAGACAGGGTTTCGCCATGACGGCCAGGCTGGTCTTGAACTCCTGGCCTCAAGTGATCCGCCGCCTCAGCCTCCCGAAGTGCTGGGAAAACAGGTGTGAGCCACCATGCCTGGCTTCATTCACTTAATTTTTTTCCCCAAAATATTTAAATGCAAATCTCAGGCATCACATTGTTTTATCTGTAAATACTTTAGTATATACCTGCAATAGATAAGGACCTTTAAAAAAATATAACCAGAAGACCATGATCATACCTAACAAAACTGACAATTCCTTAATAATCTCTAATAGATAGTCCATATTCAATTTCCCTTGTCCCCAAAATGTCTTTTCCTTTCTTTCTTTCTTTCTTTCTTTTTTTTTTTTTTTGAGATGGAGTCTTGCTCTGTTGCCCAGGCTGGAGTGCAGTGGTGTGATCTTGGCTCACTGCAACCTCCATCTCCCGGGTTCAAGCAATTCTCCTCCCTCAGCCTCCCTAGTAGATGGGATTACAGGCACGCACCACCACGCCTGGCTAATTTTTGTATTTTTAGTAGAGACTGGGTTTCATCGTGTTGGCCAGGCTGCTCTCGAACTCCTGACCTCAAGTGATCCACCCACCTTGGCCTCCCAAAGTGCTGAGATTACAGGCGTGAGCCACCATGCCCAGCCCCAAAATGCCTTTTTACAGTTAGTTTGTTCAAATCTGGATCAAAATGTCCAAATAAGGTAGATATATTAAGGTTGACATTTTCTACATCTTTAAAAGTCTATAACATTTCGTCGCTCTCCCTCTTTTTTGAGTTGTTTGTTGAAGAAACCAGATAATTTATCCTGTAGAATTTCCTACCTTCAGGATTTGGCTGATTACATCTTCAAAGTGTTATTTAATGGGAAATACATTCAAATAGTACATAAATCAAAATATACGGTATTTGAAACATACAAAATGACCCTCCTACCCTTGTTCCTCAGGTACCCAATTTTCTTGCCTGGAGGCAATTATTATTTCTTGTGCATTCTTCCAGAGATGTCTTCCTATTTGAATTTAATCATTTTATCTTTATTCTTGCCACAGACGATAGTTGGTTACATGCCTTTCTTTTTAGACTATCTGTTCCTTTAGATCAGGGATTGAGTCTTTGATTTTTCGATCTGTATCTCTAGCGATGATGCGTAGGCCTGTGTTGATTTAATGTCTGTTTCAATGCCAGCCTGTATCCTGCCACCTCCCTACCTTTGGGGAGGTCCCAGACAGAGCACGAGGTTAATAGTTAGAAGACCCGAGTTTGTGACTTAGCTAAGCCGGCTTTGGGATATTCATTTAGCCTTTTGGAGATGCCATTTGTCATTAGAGATGGTTATGCCACTTACTCAGGATTATGTAGATAATATCTCAGTGCCTTGTGAAATAGAAAGCAGGTATCAAAAACAAGTCAGATGTCTCCTACAAGGTATGTTCCATGAGGACAGAGACTTGGTCTGTGCTGTGAATCTCCATGTCTGCAGCATCCATCACCAGGATGTGACAGGTCCTGAATAAAGGTTTGTTGAACGAACGAGTGAATGAAATGTTAGGTTTTTTTTTTTTTTTTTGAGACGGAGTTTTTGCTCTTGTCACCCAGGCTGGAGTGCAGTGGTGCGATCTCGGCTCACTGCAACCTCCGCCTCCCGGGTTCAAGTGATTCTCCTGCCTCAGCCTCCCGAGTAGCTGGGACTACAGGCACCGAAATGTTAGTTTTTATGGAGGATCTCAAAGTCCCTGCTTCTGAGACATAATTGCCCACTGCGCTTCCCTGCCCCTCTTTCTCCAGCTAACCGGTGCTATGGGCCTTGGCATCCACTGGTGTAACATTCTACGGAGAGCTTGCAGGCTCGGACACAGGGGCAAGGCCTCTGCTTTACGGAATCTGCAGAGGAGGCAGGCGATGGGTGTCAAAAAGACAGTTGCCTGTCACGTGTCACATGTAAGTCATCTGAAAGGCAGTGACACTGTAGCTCCTAGATAAGCTGACAGTTTTGGGGAATGCAGTAAGGAAAGTGCAGCCTGGCATTTGACAAGAGAACAGCACGTGGCGGCTGGCACCAGATAACAGGGTGTAGGCCCGTCTCTGGGAGTTGTGCCTGGGAAGGGGGAGCTGGCTGGCACTAAGAGCATGAGTAAATACCGCAGGAGTGTTTTCTTCCATTGGAGCGCTTATCCCTTCTCGTCAGTGTGGCTGATAAAGGAATGAGTGAAGGGTAAAACATAGTTATCTCAACTGTCAAGCCAGCATCTCCAGGTCTCAGAGTATGTCAGAGCCAGGAGGCTAGCTTCGGCAGGCGGTGACTTCGAGCACTTTCAAGGTTGGCGCAGGAAGGCTGGGATCTCAGTGACTCAGATCTGGAACCAGAGGGCTAAGAGCCAACGTGAAGTGTGTTCTAGAGGCATAGTGGCCCTTTGCTAGGCAGCCAAGGTGGTGGGGAGGGGCTCATGTGCTTTGGAGAACCAGATCCCTGGTGTTCAAGATGCTTATAAACTGAGATGTGTGTGAGCTGGCTTATTCATAAAGCATACAGAAGTCATTGCTGGTGTAGACATCCAGGAATGGGGCTGGAGGAGAGAAGATAGAGTTGATTCTGATGAGGGTTTGTGATGTAGTGGATATTTGTTAATTTTTCAGTTTGGAAGCCATTCTCATTTTGGGGAACAGCATATAAACTTTCCTCTGGGGAGCCGCTGTATTGATGTACACTTTATGAGTTTGGGAAGGGCTCACCCCACCCTTATTAGCCAGGTGATCAGCGGAGTCTATTCTGCCGGCCCTGGAGGTTGATTCAGGAAACCTGAGCACCAGAGCCAGTTCTGGCCAGTGCGCAGGACTTTTCTGGGAAGAGCAGCTCTCTCTTTTCTGCTGAGTGAGCTGAGAATGTAAGATGTTGGCTTGGAGCTGTTGGCAGCCATCTTTGCCACCATGAGGGGAAAGCCTGTCTGTGAATGGAGCTAGTATTGCAAAGAAATGCATAATTTGGCTGGGCACGGTGGCTCACGCCTGTAATCCCAGCACTTTGGGAGGCCGAGGTGGGTGGATCACGAGGTCAAGAGATCGAGACCATCCTGGCCAACATGGTGAAACCCTGTCTCTACTAAAAATACAAAAATTAGCTGGGCGTGGTGGTGGGCGCCTGTAGTCCCAGCTACTCGGGAGGCTGAGGCAGGAGAACTACTTGAACCTGGGAGGTGGAGGTTGCAGTGAGCTGAGATTGGGCCACTGCACTCCAGCCTGGCTACAGAGTGAGACTCTGTCTCAAAAAAAAAAAAAAAAAAAAAGAAATGCATAATTTGAGTCCCTAGATCTAGCTGAAATTGAAGCTAGACTACTGCTGGAATTTCAGTTATAGCTACCAGGAAATTCTTTTTTTTTTGCCCAAGGTGGTTTGAGTTAAGTTTGCTGTTTCTTGCAGCCGAATGAGTCCTTATATACTGTGGATTCTTGGAGAAGCATACTGGGGTTATTTTTTTTTCTTTTTCTTTTTTTCTATGGCCCTCAGTTTGCCACTTAAACATGCTGGGTCTTTTAAGCATAAATGGAGTTTTGATAGTCACAGGAGGGCCCGTAACTCAAGGGAAGAAATGAAATTCAAAAATTTTAGTGCCTAAGGAGGGTGCAGAGAGGTTTGGATGGTGCTGGGTAGAATTGGAGCCATTTTGGACCTGGAGCCAGGTCCCCTGGCACCTAGTCCTACTCCACTGCCAAGCACCTCTGCTTTTATTTTTTTAGTTTTTAAAAGGCTTTTTTTTTTTTGAGCTAGAGTCTTGCTGTATCTCCCAGGCTGGAGTGCATTGGCGTGATCTCGGCTCACTGCAACCTCTACCTCCTGGGTTCAAGTGATTCTCCTGCCTCAGCCTCCCAAGTAGCTGGGACTACAGGTGAGTGCCACCATGCCCGGATAATTTTTTGTGTTTTTAGTAGAGACAGGGTTTTACTGTATTAGCCAGAATGATCTCCATCTCCTGACCTCGTGATCCGCCCGCCTCGGCCTCCCAAAGTGCTGGGATTACAGGCATGAGCCACTGCGCCCAGCCCAATTTTTGTGTTTTTAGTAGAGATGGGGTTTCACCATGTTGGCCAGTCTGGTCTTTAACTCCTTACCTCAGGTGATTCACCTGCCTTGGCTTCCCAGAGTGCTGGAATTACAGACGTAAGCCACCATGTTTGGCCAGCCTCTGCTTTTCTATCCACAAAATGATGGTGGTAGCCTTTGCCCCTGTTCCGTTTATAAGAATGGAAATGAGAAGCTTTGCTTAATTTAACATTGTGGATTATTTAAACCAGCCAGAGAGGAGATCCTGAGCATAGGGTTAGCCTTGATAGCTCCTTATCATTTTAATGAACATGTTAATGATATTCTATTTTCCTCATTTCTTCTATACATTTATTAATTGGAATTCTTCTGTGAGAAAGACCTTTCCGTTCTCCCCTAGTTATTTAATTATTGTTATTATTATTAAGATGGAGTTTTGCTCTTGTTGCCCAGGATGGAGTGCAGTGGCGTGGTCTCAGCTCACTGCAACCTCTGCCTCCCGGGTTCAAGCGATTCTCCTCCCTCAGCCTCCCTGGGATTACAGGTGCCCACCATCACACCCGGCTAATTTTGTATTTTTAGTAGAGACGGGGTTTCACTATGTTGGTTAGGCTGGTCACAAACTCCTGACCTCAGGTGATCTGCCCTCCTCAGCCTCCCAAAGTGTTGGGATTACAGGCGTGAGCCACTGCGCCCAGCCATTTAATTATTTTTATCACTATGAACTCATGGATATTTATTTTATTCTATGGGGTCTATGTCCCATATATAATCCAGACAATACTTTTCCTTTATATCCAAAACAATCATTATTTTATTGCTCAAATGGTTCCACCTTTGGCCACTGGGAGCTCTTTCAGGTTGGCTCCTGTGTCCTTTTGATATACCCCCAACCTATATTGAGCACTGCCTTACATTCTTGTACTGAAAGATACTTCAGGCTTATCCTGTATTTTCCTTGTCCTGGAATCAATTACTTCTCCAAGGAGCCCTGGTTCCTGTTACTGGAGAATGGTATTTAGAAACCAAGTTGTAGAGGTTAGGTATATCGTTTTGCTACTGGGGTACCATTGCTTCTAGGCCCTTCTAGGAGACAGAGTGAGGATATATATGTGTGTACACTCACTCACACATACACACACTTCTGTCTTTCTACTAAAAAACTAAGATTTTTTTTTTTTTTGAGACATGGTCTTGCCCTGTCACGACCCAGGCCAGAGTGTAGTGGTGCGATCATGGTTCACTGCAGCCTCCAACTCCTGGGCTTAAGCTATCCTCCCACTTTAGCCTCCTGAGTAGTGGACTACAGGTGTGCACCACCATGCAGGGCTAATTTTTTAAAGTATTATTTGTAGAGACAGAGTCTCACTATGTTGCCCAAGCTGGTCTTGAACTCCTGGCCTCAAGTGATCCTGGTGCCTTGGCCTCCCAAAGTGCTGGGATTATGGGCATGAGCCACCGTATCTGGGCAAAAAACTATGAAATGATGCTTATATCTCCAATTTTAGTCCAACATCACAGAGTCCATATTAGCATTCTCCCTTTTTTAAATATCACCTCTTTCTCTGACAGTGATAAACCTGCCTCTTATCTACAATATATTTCCTTATTTGTTTGACTCTCTTACACTCTAAAATAGTTAAGACCACTGAAGCATTCATGAGCAGAGACAATGGTCTGAAATAGGTGAGGTTGAATGAGTTAAGTTGGTATGGGAGCTGAGTTTGGAAAGGTGGGTTGATGGAAACATGTAGCCTTGGGGACAAGGTGATTTTGGCTGAGCGTGATGGGTGAAATTTTGGGGGTTGTCTATAAGAAAAAGATTAATTCAATGTTACTGGAGACTAGGAGAGTGAAGGGGCATAGTGGCAAATAGGATTAGAGCTAGGTAACAGAGGGACTCAAGGCCAGGTTTTAAGCCATAGACAATAGGGAGCCATGGAAAATTCTCCAGTAAAGTTATTTATTAAGCCTTTGGTGATTGAGAATGCTTAAAGTTATTGCATCATTAAATTTTCTTTTTTTTTTTTAGACAGGGTCTCGCTCTGTTGCCCAGGCCAGAGTGCAGTGGTGCGATCTCCGCTCACGGCAACCTCCGTTCACTGCAACCTCTGCTTCGCAGGTTCAAGCGATTCTCCCACCTCAGCCTCCCGAGTAGCTAGGACTACAGGCATGCGCCACCACACCCAAGTAATTTTTGTATTTTTTGGTACAGACAGGGTTTCCCCATCTTGACCAGGATGGTCTCGAACTCCTGACCTCAAATGATCTGCCTGCCTTGGTCTCCCAAATTGCTGGGATTACAGGTATGAGCCACCGTGCCTCGCCAATTTTTTTTTTAATTAAATATGAGACAGAGTCTTGTCATGTTGCCCATGCTGGTCTCAAACTCCTGGGTACAAGTGATCCTCCCACCTCGGCCTCCTAAACTGCTGGGATTACAGGCGTGAGCTACTGTACCCAACCAGTTATTGAATTTTTTTTTTTAACACCAGTGCCACTTGCCAAAAATATTTTTTGAGCTTCTGTGTTGGACAGTGGGTAGAAGTGTGTGAACCTGCATGTTTATATGTGTCTGTGTGCTTATGAGAGAGAAAAAGAACAGGAACCTTTTCTTTTTTAAATCAGAGTTAAATGTCGGAGGTGACCTTGATTGCTACTTTGAGTGTGAAGTTTTTTTAGCTAAGCTCAAATTCTTGTTCCCAGGTAGGTCTCTGGGCTTCTGTGGTATCAGATGATTCAGGTCAGTAGTATGTGTTTGTTTGGTTAGTTACTATAGCGCCTAATATTTGGACTACAAGTAATGGTTAATATCTTCTTCCTTACCTGAGAAGCAGAGTCAGGGAGATGCAGGACCCTGCCAGGTGGTGATCAAAATTCATCAGCTTCATTACTGATAGACACAGGGCTGAGCATATAGTTTGGGGTCTGGAGGAGGTGGGCTTGCTGAACTTCACCCCTGAATTTGAGAGGCTTACCTACCCAGGCAGACATGGCTGGACAAGCCTCTCAGTTGGGGGACTGCCTCTTAGAGGAGGAAGGAGCTGAAAATCAATGCTTTGCAGATAAGCAGATCCCAAACAGAGAGGAGAGAGGAAGGGGTGAGCTGAGCAAACTCTGTTTCTTCTCCTAAATTCCTTAATCTGATTGGTGATTATCTCTCCCACAAGGAGTGAAGGAGTGGGACAGAGAGGTCAGGAGTGTTATGCATACTAGGGCTCCCTCCGCATGGTTGTGTGAAACATAGGGATAGAATGTTCTCCTGTAGTACTGATTGTGGGAGGGGAGGTAGCTGTAAATTTGCTATAAGAACCATTTGTTTCTATCAAATTCTGCTAATCTTTACATCTAACTTTGCTTAGGAACATAGGGTGTTTTGGGTTGGAGTATGGGACAGCTATTTTGGCATTACTAAAATCTGCACTTAGAGGCAAGAGTCAGACACTGTCAACTTTTATTTTATTTATTTATTTTTTGAGACAGGGTCTTGCTTTGTTGTCCAGGCTGAAGTGCAGTGGTGTGATCTCGGCTCACTGCAGCCTCGACCTCCTGGGCTCAAGCAGTCCTCTTGCCTTGGCCTCCCAAAGTGTTGGGATGGGATTACAGGTGTGAGCCACAATGCCCAGCCTCCTGCAACCTTTAGAACCATGGGATATGGTAGAGTGTTTTGGAGAAAAAGGGACTCAAATTTCTGGCCTGTGGATATTGGTTGGAGGGGCAGAGTAAGGGGCTAAGGTCGGGTGACAACTCTATAACTATTCCACTGCACTTGAGAAAGACATCTTGGGCATCAGCAAGCTCAAGCCTCTAATGTACACATGTGGAAGTAGAGTTCTGTAAAGGTGATGTGATGGCTTTTTTTTTTTTTTGAGACGGAGTCTCACTGTATCACCCAGGCTGGAGTGCAGTGGCATGATCTCGGCTTACTGCAGCCTCTACCTTCCGGGTTCAAGCAATTCTTCTGCCTCAGCTTCCTGAGTAGCTGGGACTACTGGCGCATGCCACCATGCCTGGCTAATTTTTGTATTTTTAGTAGAGACAGGATTTCACCGTATTGGCCAGGCTGGTCTCGAACTCCTGACCTCATATGATCCGCCCGCCTTGGCTGTAATCCCCAAAGTGCTGGGATTATAGGCGTGAGCCACCGCACCTGGCCAGTGATGTGATTTCTTACATCCCCAGCAGGTGTGTAGCACATCATGAACTTGATCTTGATGTTCAGATACTGCCCAATCTCATGTTCTTTGCACTTTATACTCTGTCGTTTCCCTGTATATCTGCTTCCAGTCTGGGGAAAAGCACCAAGTTGGACAGAAAGTAGACACAAAGATGCCTGTGCAGCAGCTCTTGCCAACTGGCTGCTGCTGCTGGAGTCGCTCCTCCTGCCTCTTCACCCTCCCTCCTCTGAGCCTGAGGCTCTGCTGCTGCCTGGGATGGATTTGGGAAACACCGGAGGAGGAAGAAGGGCAATAGAGCCACCTCCCTGAAGTTCCTTTACTCATTTAATCAATAAAACAGTTAACAAATATTTAGCATTCTCCTATGGAGGGGAGGGTAGACCCTTCAAAAGGAATTGATAGGTGCTGGCTCTTTGCTTCAGGAAAGAGTTTCAACTCTGAAGCTATTGAACAACTGCCAGTTTTGAGGATAACCATCCTACCAGTCTAGTGAAGGTATAATTCACTAAGCATTTTAAAGATCCTGTTTGTCTGCAAAGGGAACTGTAGCAATGTCTGGTTCTTCAGGAATATTCCCTGAAACCTGGGATCTGGTCTGGCCAAACCAGGACATTTCTTCACCATCCTTCCATCCATCTATTACATTAGCTAACGTTAACTGAGCCTGCTCTGTGTCAGGTACAGGGTGAGGCTCAGAGGAGAAAATGGGAAGTAAGACTCAACCTCTGCCCTCAAGTTGTCATAGTTGAGGGTTGGGGGTAGGGGGGCAGAAGGCATGAAATCACCAGCTACAGGACTGATTTGTCTATTAGAACTCTGGCCCCTGGTCTGGAATTACTTCTCCTGATCCCTGACAGCAGCTAACTTCCAGGCAAGGTGGGCATGTTCAGGGGTAGCTTTTCTTGGGAGATGGGGCTGGGATGCGTTCCTCCTGGAGTAGTGGTCTGGGTCTCATTGAGCTACAGCTCCTTTGCACGTGCAGCACCTGTCGACCTGTCATGGAATCTTTTCAGTGAGTTTTCAAGCACTGTGCGTCTAGACCCACTTTTGCTGCTTTTGTTTGTCATCACGGAATGTTTGCTTGGGAGTGTTCTGCATAGAGGAGGAGAGAAATTGAATCCTTGCTATCTTGGTGACTGGCTTTCTCGGAGTTTGTGATAATTTCTGCAGGAGCATGAGCTGCATTTAATTCTCTCTGGTTGGGTCATCTAAGGACCAGTTCTTTGGAATTAGGGAGACAGAGTCTGTGAGTCTAGCACCTCCTTTTTAGCTTTCTGAATACTGCATCGAAATCTGTGCAGTTTTCCACAGTGGCCCTGACCTCAAAACCGTTCTGATTCTGGAGGATTCTGTAGGAGTAGGTTCTTGAGCCTTGACGTGACCTGGGGAGAAACTTGGTAGGGCCCATGGCCATCAGTGGGAGTCCTGGGGGTTAATGTGGGCCTGGGAGAAAATGTGATTCTCCCTGGAGATTGGGCTCACTGTGTAGTGGCTTCTCTGTAGGTCCTAGGCAATCAGGGAAATGCCAGCTACCCTCTCAATTGGTCTAGACTTGTTAGTTACCTAGGGACCATGGCCAACACCAGCGTTTTATTTTTCCATATCTGTATACAGCTTGTATTTTAAAAAATGTGTAATATTTAAGACCTAAGACAAAGTGTAAAAAGGAATTCAGTGATCACCCTCATGCTTATTGCCCAATTTCAGAAATAGTACACTTTACCCATGCAGTTATAGCCCGTGGGTACTTCCTCCCTGACTCCAACTTTCTTCCTGCATATCCAGAATTAAGCAGTATTTTCAATTCATTGTTTATTATTCCCATACACTTCTTTATAACCAACTATTCAGGTATTTCTGTGATATTTTTCATCCTGTCAACACTTTTTCCTTTCTTGGCTTTGTTCTAAGCAAAAATATCTGTGAAATTACAGGTTTGATTTTCTCTCTCTCTCTGTCTATCTAATGCATATGCAAATAAATATTCTGGGTACCAGCTGAAATTGCCTCTTGTACCACCTTTTGCATACCATCACTGCTGCAAGGTCGTACTTTGAGAAACAAGGCTGCAGCATCCGTAGCAGATGCTACTGGGCTATGCCCTGGCTTGCACCCACTCTTGTCTCGATCTTTACCCTGCTGTTTTTGGCTACTCTCTTTCCGGCTCTTCTCTTTTCCTAGCTCACACCATTCATCTCCTGGGAATGCTTTAGGATTGGAGATGCCTGATGTGATGGTGTTTGCTGCTGTGGTTCTAAAGCAGTGATCTTTTCCAAAGGCCACAGCTATAATGAAACAAAACAACCCCCTGGGTTTTTGGTGGTATGAGCCCGTTGCTGTGTGCTGGGCATCTCTCCATTCTGATCAGCACACAGTTCCTCTCGTGTGCATGTCTGCAGCTCCCTCACCTATGTGGGCTGCCTGGACACATGGGTGGGCTTCCTGCTACTTCAGAGCTGCCCTCCAGTTGCCCCTACCACCTGGTTCTACAGGGTAAGTGGAGCAGGCACAACACCCAGCTCCACAGAGAAGGTCCTGCATTGTGAGGACCTACACTTCTAACAAGGCCCTCTATGGGGCAGGAACTGGAGTAACCCTGGTTTCAGCCTACCCTTGCCCATCTCAGACCCTATCCCAGACCAACCCAGGCTGGGCTTTTCATTGCTGATTGCTTTCCCCACTGAAAACCTCCAGCAGTTTTCTGACCCGCCCTGGACTGGGTGCTTCGGAGCTGTTTCCACCTCTGCTGGAAATGGATGTGGCAACATCATGAGAGATGCGGGGTAGGCATAAGCTAGGACTTCCCTGTGGCTGAGGCAATTTAGTACTGGAGTGCATAGAAGTATCCTTGGTCTAGACTTATTAGTTACCTAGGGACCATGGCCAATACCAGCATTTTATTTTTCCATATCTGCATACAGCTTGTATTTTAAAAAATGCGAAATATTTAAGACCTAAGACAAAGTGTAAAAAATAATTCAGTGATCACCCTCATGATCATTGCCCAATTTCAAAAATAATACCTTACCCATGCAGTTGTAGCCTATGGGTACTTCTTTCCTGACTCCAGCCTTCTTTCTGTATAACCAGAATTAAGCAGTATTTTGGATTCATTGTTTATCATTCCCATGCAACAAAGCCAAATGTCCTTCACCCAGAACAGCTGTAAAGCAGCTTTCCAGAAACAGAAGAGATTTTATGTCTGTCATTAAGGTGGGAATGGGACAGCACCCAGGTGGTTCACAACCTGTCAGACAATCAGTCACCTGGGGAGCCTTATAAAGCACACATTCCTTGGTCCTGTACACTAAAGATTTATTGTCAGTGATTCTGAGGTAAGGCCTGGAAAGCCTCACTCTGGTGTCCAGGCTGGAGTATAGTGGCTTGATCATGGCTCACTGCATCACTGCATCCTCTACCTCTTGAGCTCAATTGATCCTCCCATCTTAGCCTCCCGAATAGCTGGGACTGCAGGCTTGCACCACCACACCTGGCTAATTTTTGTATTTTTTGTAGAGACAAGGTTTCGCCATGTTACCCAGGCTGGTTTAGAACTCCTGAGCTCAAACATTCCCCCTGCTTCGGCCTCCCAAAGTGCTGGGATTGTAAGCATGAGCCCTGCCAAAAGCCATATTTTTAATGAGTTCATCAGGTAGGCTCCTACTAATGGGTATCTCCAAGTTCGTGTTTTAGAAACTTAATCTGCAAAGCAAGAGTGTTGAGAAGTAGGACCTTCAAGAGATAATTAGGTCATAAGGGCTCTGCCCTCATGAATGGAATAATGCTGTTACCGTGGGAATGGGTTCATTTTGGGTACCTTCCCTCTCTCCCTCTCTGTCTCCACCCACAATCCCCACCCTTTCATGGGCTCTCTGACTCTTCTACCTTCCATTATGGGATGACCCAGCAAGACGGCCCTTGCCAGATGCGGGTCTCTTGGTCATGGGCTTCCCAGCCTCTAGAACTATTTAAAACAATGTTTTGTTTTGTTTTTAAAAAGTGATCCAGTCTCAAGGATTTTGTTATAGAAGCACAAATGGATGAAGATGGCTTCTGCTGCACTGTACTTAGGGGTCTCTATTATCTCATTTAATTTTTACAGTAGCCCAATGAGGTAAATACCATTGTTATCATCCCTGTTTTACAGATGAAGAAACTGATGAACAGACGGATGGAGTGACTTGTTCAAGCGTCCACAGCTAGCAAGCGGGTGTACTAATTTCCTGTGATTGCCATAACAAATTACCACAAATTGGGTGGTTTAAGGCAATAGAAGTTTATTCTCCTACATTTCTTAAGGCCAGAGGCCCAAAATCAAAGAACCCCCAGGACCATGCTGCTGGTGGGAAGCATTCTAGGGAAGAACCCTTCCTTGCCTTTTCTGGTGGCACCAGGCATTCCTGTGGCTGCATCATTGCAATCTCTGCAATCTAAGCCTCTATCTCCTCTACCTTTTCTTTCTTTCTTTCTTTTTTTTTTTTTTTTTTGAGATGGAGTCTTGCTCTGTCATCTAGACTGAAGTGCAATGGTGCGATCTTGGCTCACTGCAACCTCTGACCCCCGGGTTTAAGCGATTCCCCTGCCTCAGCCTCCCGAGTAGCTGGGATTACAGGTGCCTGCCACCTCATCCGGCTACAGGGGAATCAACTAATTTTTTGTATTTTTAGTAGAGACAGGGTTTCACCATGTTGGTCAGGCTGGTCTCGAACTCCTGACCTTGTGATCCACCTGCCTTGGCCTCCCAAAGTGAGCCGCCGTGCCTGGCCTACCTCTTGTTTTTAATAAGGACAACTGTCATTGGATTTAGGGTCCACCTGGGCAATCCAGGATGATCTCATCTTAAAAATTCTTTTTTTTTTTTTTTTGAGACAGTCTGGCTCTGTTGCCTAGGCTGGAGTAGAGTGGTACAATCTCTTCTGCCTCCTGGGTTCAAGTGATTCTCCTGCCTCAGCCTCCCAAGTAGTTGGGATTACAGGCATGCATCATCATGCCTGGCTAATTTTTGTATTTTTTTGTAGAGACAGGGTTTCGCTGTGCTGGCCAGGCTGGTCTTCAACTCCTGGGCTCAAGTGATCTGCCTGCCTCAGCCTACCAAAGTGCTGAGATTATAGGCGTGAGCCACCATGCCCAGCTTCATCTTAAAAATTCTTAATTATATCTGCAAAGACCCTTTTTTCTGAATAAGGTTACAGTCACAGATTCCAGGGGTAGAACATGGACATATTGTTTTGGGGGCCACCATTCAACCCACTACAGGAACTTAGAATTAATGCCAAATGGTGCAGCTCCTCAGGCTGTGCCTGTAACCACTCTACTCCCCGGCTCACTAATCTGGACTGGATGAGCTCCCAGGGTTCCTCCAGGCCAGTGGTCCATACAGCATGGGGTTCTGTGTTGTATCAGGGCATCAGAGCCATCTGTCAAGCCTCGAGACATCAGTGTTTTTTTCTCTACCTCTCTCCCATCCCCTCAGCCCTCTGCAATTTTTCCTGAAACCCTTTGGGCTGTTCATCTTGGACTCAGAAAATTCCCATGTATTAACATGTTGACAAAGTTAGGCTGCAGGTGCTGTGAGGACAGACTCATACTGGCTTGGATGAGATGTGTTTCTCTTGCCTCAGTGGCCACAGCTCCAAAATGCGAATTGCTGGAATAGCAGGGCTAGATGGAAGGCTGTAATATAACTAATAAAATTGACGGAAGGCACTCCGCAGCCGTAAGGGTGATCGAGATGCTTGTTAACAGCAGTAATAATCTAATAGCCTGTTCTTGATTTCCCACTTCTCACTGTCTTGGCCCCAAGCAGCTATTTTCTACCAAATTAAAATCCACTCAGCTCTCTTCCTGTCCCTGAATAAAACTACTCTCAAAGCTCTTGCCTGTTACAGCAAGACTTTTTAATAGACTTTTCCCTGTAGAACCGTGAGACATATGTCCAATTAGCCGAATAACTTCACTTAAATATACAAATAAACTGTTGACTGATAACAGCAAGACATATGTGAAGCTAATTTAAGGCAAGGTGGTTCAGGAACTGGGGTGCTGTCCCTCCCACAGCCCCAATCTGTCTTTAAGCTTCTCTTCCCTCCAATCTATTATTATTATTTTTGAGACAGGGTGTCACTCTTGTCGCTCAGGGTGGAGTGCAGTGGTGCAATCATGGCTCACTGCAGCCTGGACTTCCCAGGCTCAGGTGGTTCTCCCACTTCAGCCTCCCAGGTACCTGGGAATACAGGCACGTGCTGCCATGCCTGGCTAATTTTTTGTATTTGTAGTAAAGATGGGGTTTCACCATGTTGCCTAGGCTGGTCTCGAACTCCTGGGCTCAAGCTATCCACCTGCCTTGGCCTACCAAGCTGCTGGGATTACACTCGTGAGCCACTGCACCTGCTCCCGCTCCAGTTTTTTGCTTATGGAAAAGATCTTTACCCCCTAACCCCCAACATGTTATGGGATGAAGGGGGATGTCTCTCTGCTGTGCCTGGCCACAGTGCAGACTATCTAAGCCACTATTCATTCAGCCAATTGTTCAGTGATATTTATTGAATGCCTACTATGTTCCAGGCACTGTGTGGGGTGCTGGGTGTACAATGGTCTGTTCTTGGGAGGACAAGAGGTAATTCACAATGATGGGACTCAAAAGCACATCCGCTCCAGGAGGATAGGGGACTTGTTTGTATTGCTTGCTGCTGTGTCTGCAGCACTAAGAACAGTGCTTGCCACACACAGAGTGGTCTCAGTGTACACTTTTCAGGAAATCACTGTGGGTCTAAGTAAACAAGGTCATTTCAGCTCTTGCTGAGTGCCCTAAAGGAGATAAAATGTAGTCATGGGATAAAGAGGGGCTGAGGGAGAGTCTGGGAAGGGCTCTCTCGCATGATGTTTTTCAGCTGAAACTGAAGAATGATCAAAGGACTAGCAAGTGAAGGGCTGCGGGGAGACTGTTAGAGGAAGAGGCAGGGCCGGCCATGTGATTACGAGGACTAGTGCAAAATGAAAATGCTGGGCTCTGGCTGGGCGTGGGAAAGCCTCCCTTCCCATGGCCCTGCTGCCCCAACCTTCAAAGGATGGGCAGGTTCCGGGAAATGGCAAGCTGTGTGCTGGGGCGAGCTCAGGATCTGGATGGGGGTGGGTGAGAGGTGCCTGCCAAGCTGTGTGCTCAGCTTGCTGTGGCTGTTCTAGTTTAGGATGGGGCTGGATAACATGTGGCACCTGTGTGACCCCAACCCTCCCCGTGCCTGTGTCAAGGCCACCTGCAGGGTGGAGAGCAGTGCACAATGCAGGCCTCCCCTTCCCGGTGCACTGCTTGCAGAGAGCAGCAGTGATGGCAGGTAGAAGTAGGGAGATGGGGCCCGATGTGGTGGCTGGCCTGTAATCCCAGCACTTTGGGAGGCCGATGCAGGTGGATGACGTGAGATCAGGAGTTTGAGACCAGCTTGGGCAACATGATGAAACTAAAAATACAAAAATTAGCCAGGTGTGGTAGTGCGCGCCTCCTCAGCTACTTGGGAGGCTGAGGCAGGAGAATCGCTTGAACCCGGGAAGTCGAGGCTGCAGCAAGCTGAGATTGCACCACTGCACTCCAGCCTGGGGGACAGAGTGAGACCCTGTCTCAAAAAAAAAAAAAAAAAAAAAAAAGGAAAAAAGAAGTAGGGAGGCGGGGAGGAGCTGGGGTACTCGGGGCAGGGAATGGTCAGCCAAGGAGGTGGGACTGTGTGGAGCTGAATCTTCTGGCGCACCTTCCTTTGTCCTATCAGACTTCACTTCCAAAACACAAATTCAAAAATTTCAAATTCAAGAATAGCGTGAACCAGGGAGGTGGAGGTGGCAGCTACTAATACAGTAGCTTCCTATGACTATTAGTTTCCTGTGACTGCTCTAACAAATGTTCACAAACATAGTGGCTTCAAACTATACATTCATTCTCTTATAGTTCTGGAGGTCAGAAGTCTGGAACGGTTCTCACTGGGAGAAAATTAAGGTGTCAGCAGAGCTGCGATTCTTCTGGAGGCTCTAGGGGAGAATTCTTTTCCTTTTTTTTTTTCCATCTTGTAAAGGCTGTCCACATTCCTTGGCTCATGGTCCCATTCCTCCATCTTCAAAGCCTGTGACATCTGGCTAAGTCCTTCTCCCCCTCCCATCTCCCTGGCTCTCTTCTGCCTTTCTCTGCCACTTATAAAAGCCATGGTGATTACACCGGGCCAATCTGAGTAATTCTGGATAATCTCACTGT
This sequence comes from Homo sapiens, assembly GCF_000001405.40. Taxonomy (NCBI): domain Eukaryota; kingdom Metazoa; phylum Chordata; class Mammalia; order Primates; family Hominidae; genus Homo; species Homo sapiens. Next base: position 77,840,538 of record NC_000014.9, read on the forward strand.
CAAGGTCAGCAGATTAAGAAATTAAACTGGCCGTGTGTGGTGGCTCACGCCTGTAATCCCAGCACTTTGGGAGGCTGAGGGGAGTGGTTCACTTGAGGCCAGGTGTTCAAGACCAGCCTGGACAACATGGTGAAACCCTGTTTCTACTAAAAATACAAAAATTAACCAAGCATGGTGGTGTGCGCCTGAAGTCCCAACTACTTGGGAGGCTGAAGCACGAGAATAGCTTGAACCAGGGAGGTGGAGGTGGCAGTGAGCTGAGATGGTGCCATTGCAGTCCAGCCTGGGCGACAGAGTGAGACTCAATCTGAAAGAAAGAAGGGCAGCAGGGAGGGAGGGAGAGAAGGGAAGGGGAGAGGAGGGGAGGGGAGGGAAGAGGGAGGGAGGGAGGGAGGGAGGAAGGAAGGAAGGAAGGGGAAAGAAAGAAGCCTTCATTTCTTCTGCAATCTTCATTCCCTGTGCCATGTAAGGTAACACATTCATAGATTCCAGGGAGCTGGACATGTACATCTCAGGTGGCAAGGGCATTATTCTGACTTCCACAGTGACTGCAGGGCATTAAACCACACACTCAGGCCTTCCCAAGTGCAGGGCAGCTGCATGCCCTTGAAGCCAGCCCTGGAGAGGGAAACTGCAAGCCTAAAAGCCCCGATGTGGCAATGAGCTTGGCTCACTGAAGGACATGGAGGGAGGCCCGAGTGATAGACTAGAGTGAACGATAGGGCATGTGGTACAAAATGAGACGAGAGAGACTGGCACAGGTCAACGGAACAACACGGAACCCCATGCTGTATGGACCACTGGCCTGGAGGAACCCTGGGAGCTCAGGTCAAGAACACAGGGCCTCCTACGTGGCAGTGAAGAGTTAGGAACAGCAGGCTGGGATCTGCTATTGGATCTTTAGGGGAAAAAAAACTCTATATAAAAAATTTCAAATGTAATTAAAAAGTGTGGAGAATAATAGGCTGAACCCCTATACCTGGCACCTAGATCTGAAATTTGCCAGGCCAGGCTTAGTGGTTCAGGCCTGTAATCCCAGCACTTTGGTTGGGAGGCTGAGGCGGGTGTGTCACTTGAGGTCAGGAGTTCAAGACCAACCTGGACAACATGGTGAAACCCCATCTCTACTAAAAATACAAAAAAAAAAAAAAAAAAAAAATTAGCCAGGCGTGGGTGTGTGCCTGTAATCCCAGTTACCTGGGAGGCTGAGGCAGGAGAATAGCTTGAACTTGGGAGATGGAGGTTGCACTGAGCCGAGATCACACCACTGCACTCCAGCCTGAGTGACAGAGTGACAGAGTGACACTCTTTAAAAAAAAAAAAAAAAAAAAAATTTGCCAGGCCAGGCATGGTGGCTCATGCCTGTAATCCCAGCACTTTAGGAGGCTGAGGAAGGAGTGTTACTTGAGGCCTGGAGTTCTAGACCAGCTGTAGTCCCAGCTACTTGGGAGGCTGAAGCAGGAAGATCGCCTAAGCCCAGGAGTTCAAGGCTGCAGAGAGCTATGATGGCACCATTGTACCCCAGCCTGGGCGACTGAGTGAGATCCTGTCTCTGTAAAACAATCAAACATGACACACAAACAAACAAAAAATTTGCCATAATTCTTTCATTATTATTATTATTTTTTTTGCTGACAAATTTAAGCAAATTATAGAAATCATGGCATGTCACCTGTAATTTCAGTGTGCATCTCTAAAAACTGATATTTTTCTAAGTTATCATGTGATTATCTCAGCTAATGATATTAACAGGAGTTCTTTAATTTCATCTAATTTCTATGTGTGTTCACTTGTCCGCCAAATGTGCTGCCTGTTGGTCTTCACATTGTCCCTGAGCTTTGTGCCTATTTTAGCTGTCTCTCTGAGGTTAGAGTGAGGCCTTCTTCCCTGTATCTTTCAGGGTATTTTTTTTTCCTTCCTTCCTTCCTTCCTTCCTTCCTTCCTTCCTTCCTTCCTTCCTTCCTTCCTTCCTTCCTTCATTTCCTCCCTCCCTCCTTCCCTTCCTCCCTTCCTTCCTTTCTATTTTTTTTTGTTTGTTTGTGATGGAGTCTCACTCTGTCACCCAGGCTGGAGTGCAGTGGCACAATCTTGCAATCTCCGTCTCCTGGGTTCAAGCAAATCTCCTGCCTCAGCCTCCAGAGCAGCTGGGATTACAGGCATGCACCACCACGCCCAGCTAATTTTTGTATTTTTAGTAGAGACAGGTTTCACCATGTTGGCCAGGCTTGTCTTGAACTGCTGACCTCAAGTGATCCACCTGCCTTGGCCTCCCAAAGTGCTGGGTTTACAGGTGTGAGCCATTGTGCCTGGTCGAGGGTATTTTTTCTTTTTCTTTTCTTTTCTTTTCTTTCTTTCTTTTTTTTTTTTTTTAAGACTAGGTCTTTTTCTGTCATCCAGGCTGGAATGCTGTGGCTGAAACATGGCTCACTGCATCCTCCACCTCCTGGGTTCAAGTGATTCTCCTGCCTCAGCCTCCTGAGTAGCTGGGATCACAGGTGTGTGCCACTACTCCTAACTAATTAAAAAATTTTTTTTGTAGACATGGGGTCTTACTAAGTTGCCCAGGCTGGTCTCAAACTCCTGGCTTCAAGTGATTCTCCCATCTCAGAATCTCAAAATGCTGGGATCACAGGCGTGAGTAACCTTGTCTAGCCAGAGTTTTGTTTTCTATTCTTTCCCACCAGCCCCCAAGAGCCCCAGGCTTTGAGGAAATGAAAAAGACTCCTGTCCCACATTCAGGCCTGTGGCCTGAGCAAGCATGGTGGGGAAGGGAAGCAGGCTGGCTGCTGCATTCTGCTCGCGGCCTAACACTTGTTTTTCTTGACTGTAATTGCCATTCCAGAGATGCCCTCACTCTTCTAGCCGCTGAACAACTGTTGAGAACAAATTAATTATGCATCTTCTCAGTGTGTGTGATTAAGGGGCAGATGGAGGGAAGGGTCCTCTTCAGCTTTTCTGGCAACTGGGTTCCCAAATGGATGCTTTCCAGACCAAAGAGTACATGTCCTGGGCTCCTGTGGGCATCTGGGTTTGTCTGTGTGATGGCAGGCTTGCTCACTGGCAGGCAGAGTCACAAGTTGCCAGTAATAATATTATTAATCCCTTAAATTTGCAGCCCATTTGCTGTTTGCTGAGGGCTTGCACAGTCACATCAGCTCATTTGTTGGGATTTCAGGGATGCTGGAACAACTTTCTTTGCTTAATTCTTCCCTAAATCATTATTGATGCTTGTAATTCCACCATTAGAAAGTAATTCCTTTCGCTTAAACTCTGTTCTCTATTAAAATGCAAGTATCCTTGGCAGCTGTGTTGTATGTTTTATTCATTAAGCTTTCTTAGCCACTAGCAACTGCCCTCTCCAGATACCCCCATCTGCCACCTTCCTTTTAGGATGGGCTTCTCTGAAACAGAACTTACATTTGGAAACTGTCCCATTTCATAGAAATCTGCTCTAGGTTAGTTGCTCTGGCTGGAAAGAGACAGGTAAAGAAACTCCTGCCAGGATGTGAATGACTGATCATAATTTCTTTTTTTCTTTTTTTTTTCTGGAGACAGAGTCTCACTCTGTTGCTCAGGCTGGAGTGCAGTGATGTGATCTCCCCTTACTGCAACCTCTGCCTGGAGGTTCAAGCAATTGGGTTCAAGCAATTCTTGTGCTTCAACTTCCCAAGTAGCTGGGACTACAAGCGCACACCACCATGCCCGGTGAATTATTTTTGTATATTACTAGAGACAGGGTTTCACCATGTTGGCCAGGATGATCTTGATCTCCTGACCACGTGTTCCAACCACCTCGACCTCCCAAAGTGCTGGGATTACAGATGTGAGCCACCACGCCTGGCCTGATCATAATTTCTTATGTTACCACCTCTAGGGAAGATTCTTATTTTGACTGGAACCTTCTGGAAACAGTGCTCAATGCAAAGGAACCGGTGTCCCTTCATCCTATCATGTCAGTGGCGTTGGTCTTAGCTCTCCCCCCTGTTGGACTCCCTTAGAGAGGCAGTGTGGGGAGCCGGCCCCGTCAGGTCCACCAAGAGCAGACTCGGTCTGTGTAACTCAGATTGGGCGTTGGCCTGGAGTGTAGTTCATTGGGACAGGGGAGAAAATGGAGCTGACCACATAGATGATGGTGTGACAGACTGTCCATCTTGCAGAAGGAAGACTGAGGCATAGAGACAATAATCTACTTGGAGTTGGGGCTAGAATTAAAATTTTGTCTTTAGAACCCCAGTAACAGTTATAGGTTTTTAAGAGTCAGAAGACACCTTAGAAACATCTAGCTCTGGGAAAGCAAAGACATTTCATTTGCAAACTCCACTTGATTAGTAGTGGTTGTCTGAGTGCAGGTTGGAGAATAGGCAAGTCGTCACCTGGACTCAGAGTGCGTGCTGTGGTTGATTAGTGATGTCTGATGTGTGCCACGGGCACAGTAACAGAGGAGAGGCGCATATGCACTCACTTCCTATTCCTGACCCTGCTCAACTTCTCAATTTACAGATGAGCTGAGGCCCAACAAGCTGAGATGATTTGTTCAGGATTGCATAAGTAGGGGCAGTAATTGGCAGAATTGTCCCAGAATCCAGGTCCCTTGAGTCTTGATTCAAAACTTTTTCTTCTGAATTATACTGGTATTCTAAGAGGTATTTCATTATGGTCTTGGAGTTAGACTGCCGGGATTCAGATCCCAGCTCTGCCACTAATAAGCTGTGTGGCCTTAGCCAAGCCATTTAACCTTTCTGAGCCTTAACTTCATCTTTAAAAGAGAGGATAATAATTATGCCTACCATAAATGAGAAAATACATGTATAAAGGGTTCAGAGTAGGGCCTAACACATAGTAAATACTTAATCCATGATAGTAGCTCAATTAAAATGTTCCTTTTTTTTTCTTCCTTTTTGTTGAGACTGGGTCTTGCTCTGTCACCTAGGCTGGAGTGCAGTGGCACAATCTCAGCTCCTTGCAACCTCCATCTCCCGGGTTCAAACAGTTTTCCTGCCCCAGCCTCCTGAGTAGCTGGGACTACAGGCACATGCATCACCACACCCGGCTCATTTTTGTATTTTTAGTAGAGATGAGGTTTCACCATGTTGACCAGGTTGGTCTCGAGTTCCTGGCCTCAAGTGATCTGCCCACCTCGGCCTCTCAAAGTGCTGGGATTACAGGCATGAGCCACCGCACCTGGCCAAAATGTTCCTTTTTAAATTGCTTTATCTTTCTAGATTCTTGGTGGACACAGACACAAAATCATCCCCTGCTCACTCCCTCTGCAGTATCCCTCAGAGTTGCCTGTCAGAAATACCTGCTTCTCTTTCTTTTCCATGGTATGCTCTGGAATCATTTGGGTTTGAAGTGCTCCTGGAATTTGCAATTTCATAATGAAAAGTCCCACAGTACTAATAACCAGGTGTGAGATGGTGCTGGATCTGTAACTACCTGTGGCTCTGGGGCAGCTTTTGCTATCGTACTTCACACTCCAGAAGTTCATTTTGGTTTGGGTGTGTGATGCAGCTCTGGAGGCTTGGCTGTGGTTCCCCAAGAACCAGCTGCCACATGGGGCCTCTCTTGGCCATTTTGCTTAGTTGCTCCTCTGACCAGAACATCACTATAGTATCTCCTTCCGACCATCTCTGCTCCCCTAAGCCAGTGTATCTTCTCCCACCTACCCTGAACCTCGTTCTTAGACTGGACTTCAATAGCCAGCTGGTGCCACCCCCGTCTTCTCACAGCTGCCTCTCCTATAGGCTTAGAAAGCAGGGCCTAGTCAAAGCCTAGACCCAAAGCTATGCTATGGTCCTCTCCCCATCTTAATCCAGCCATGCAGGACCCTGGGTAACAGTTCCCTTTGGGTGACCCTGAGGGGGACCCAGGGAAGCCTTGAGAAGCAGTCGGAGTCCATGACTGTCCTGGAAGCCAGGCCTGGTGTGATGGGGCTTTGAGCTGACCCCTGCATGATTCAAGACAGGACTGTGGAGGGCTTTCTGGGTGTCTTGTGATGGGCAGGTGGCTCTCATTGAGTGAATCATCTGTGATTCCATATCCTGACTGGTTTTTGGGAAAAACCCCTGTTCTGGATCCTCCAACAGAGACCCTCTAGTGATCTGCCCAGCTGATCCCTGCTGAGAAAGGGCAGAGTGGGGGCTGGTGGGAAGGAGGCCTTCCCACTGGGGAACGGTCAAGTCATTGTCCCTGACATTGGAAAGCTCTGTTGCTCTGGGTCTCTCACTGGGTCCCAGACTCGTTTGGTTGCAACCTGGCCATGTCTAGGGTTGCTCCCCTGCTTTTTCTTCTGTGGACCCGAAGCGGAGAAGCTGATCATATCCATGGAGCTGCTGCATGGGCAGAAGCCCCATCTTCTCCAAGAGAGGCTCAGACAAAAAGAGGATTTTGAGCCACACTGGGTGAAAGGAACTCCTTGCTCTGCCCTTCATCCTGGGATTGTGGAAGGCAGTAACATCACTTGTGAGAGGGGAGAGGCGTGGCACGGAGAATGGGTCAAGTCAGGACTAGGAGGAGGTGAAGGGAGGCAGGCTTGGGTCCAGGCTGAGAGGATTTTTCGCAGGTGAAAAGGAGAGTGGTGTGGTGAGATTATGGAGATGCTATGCAAGGGCCTGGGGGCAGGGGATGGCACAGGAGAGAGCTGATAACTGTGGTTGGAGGGTAGAGAGTGAGGTGGGGAGTGTAAGAGATGAAGCCGCAGGACAGCTGGGCTGCCTTGTATGGGCCTGTCAGGAGTTTAAACTTCATACCAGGCTGGGCGCTGTGGCCTACACCTGTAATCCCAGCACTTTGGGAGGCTGAGGTGGGTGGATCACTTGAGGTCAGGCGTTCGAGATCAGCCTGGCCAACATGGCAAAACCCCATCTTTACTAAAATACAAAAATTAGCTGGACGTGGTGGCAGGCGCCTGTAGTCCCAGCTACACAGAAGACTGAGGCAAGAGAATTGCTTGAACCCAGGAGGTGGAGGTTGCAGTGAGCTGAGATCCTGCTACTGCCCTCCAGCCTGGGTGATGGAGTGGGACTGTCTCAAACAAACAAAAAACCCCACAAAAAACCCACTTCATACCAGGGCCAGTGAGGCAGTGAGGACCTTTGAAGGGTTATCGTTGAAGATTGTTTCCCTTTTCCCACTGTGGCCAGTGTGCTGCCCTTCCTGGCCCTGCCTTGTTGGGCTGCACAGTCCTCTAGTGTGGCCCAGTTGCTGTCATCAGAGACCCCATGCTTCTAGGGCTTCCCTGGCTTCCTTCTCACAATGATTCCCAATCTGTTTCTATAACGAGGCCTTCCAGATCCCCCTGTGTGTTCATGAATTTGTTCCCAATCTCAGAGTTTGTTTTCTGGCTTACTGGAACAGTTCCCGGGAGCCCAGACGTGGCCAGAGCCATGGTGGCCGTGTGGCCTAACCCTGAGACTTAGCTGGGGCTCAGCTGGGGACCAGGGTGGGTGGGTGTTGTGAGGAACCGGGGAGGGCAACACTGAGGGCCCCATAGTGGGTAGTGGCCACCTGGATGTTTTTCTTCTTCTTTTAAAAATTTTTTAAAATAAATAGAGATGGGGGTCTCATTTTGCTGACCAGGCTGGTCTCGAACTCCTGGCCTCAAGCAGTCCTCCTATCTTGGCTTCCCAAAGTGCTTGGATTACAGGCATGAGCCCCGGCCTGGATGTTTTTCTTCTCACTTACAAGGAATGTGTAATGGTGTGGATGGGCAGCAGAGTGTAGAGAAAGACAGATGTTTTGCAATTAGAGGGCAATGTTTCAAACCCTGAATCTACTATTTACTGGCTGAGTAAGCTTGGTAAGACCTCTAACTTTTTGGAGCCCAAGTTCTTGCATCCGTGCAATGAGGAGAATGATAGTACCTATCTCAAGGGCTTTTACCTGGGTCAGGTGAGATAATGTGTGTGAAAGACTTCATGCATTTTATTTTATTTATTTATTTACTTAAGATGGAGTTTTGCTGTGTGGCCCAGACTGGAGTACAGTGGTGCGATCTTGGGTCACTGCAGCCTCCACCTCCTGGGTTCAAATAATTCTCCTATCTCAGCCTCCTTAGTAGCTGGGATTATTGGCACGTGCCACCATGCCTGGCTAATGTTTTTATTTTTAATAGAGATAGGGTTTTGCCATGTTGGCCAGGATGATCTCCAACTCCTGACCTCAGGTGATCCTCTCACCTCAGCCTCCAAAAGTGCTGGGATTACAAAGACATGAGTCACCATGCCCGGCCTGTTTATTTTTTTTGAGAGAGTGTCTTACTCTGTTGCCCAGGCTGAGGTGCAGTGGTGTAATTTTTTTTTTTTTTTGAGACGGAGTCTCACTCTGTCGCCCAGGCTGGAGTGCAGTGGCATGATCTCAACTCACTGCAAGCTCCGCCTCCCAGGTTCACGTCATTCTCCTGCCTCAGCCTCCTGAGTAGCTGGGACTACAGGCGCCCGCTACCACGCCCAGCTAATTTCTTTTTGTATTTTTAGTAGAGACGGGGTTTCACCATGTTAGCCAGGATGGTCTCCATCTCCTGACCTCGTGATCTGCCCGCCTCGGCCTCCCAAAGTGCTGGGATTATAGGCGTGAGCCACCGCGCCCGGCCACAGTGGCATAATTATGGCTCACTGCAGCCTCAAACTCCTTGGCTCAGGGGATACTCTCATCTCTGGCTCCTGAGTAACTGGGACCAAAGGCATATGCCACCACACCCAGCAATTTTTAAATTTTTTGCAGAGACAGGGTCTCTCTATGTTGCTTAGGCAGGTCTTGAACTCTTGGCCTCAAGCAATCCTCCCGCCTTGGCCTTCCAATATGTTGGGATTATAGACATGAGCCACCTTGCCTGGCCAACTGGTACTCTCTAATTTACCTTTGATTCTTCTTTGCCCTATGAGTTCTTTAGAACGGTGTTATTTAGTTTTCTTTCTTTTTTTTGAGATAGGGTCTCGCTTTGTTGCTGAGGCTGGAGTGCAGTGACATGATCATGGCTCACTACAACCTTGACCTCCGGGGCTCAAGCAGTACTTCCACCTTTCAGCCACTCAAGTAGCTGGGACTACAGGCATATGCCACCATGCCTGGCTAATTTTTCTTCATTTTTATTTTTTGTAAAGATGGGCTCTCATTATGTTGCCCAGGCTGCTCTCGAACTCCTGGCCTCAGGTGATCCTTCCAGCTCAGCCTCCCTAAGTGCTAGGATTACAGGCATGAGCCACTGAGCCCGGCCTTGGTTTTCAAATATTTGGGAATTTTCCAGAGATTTCTTGGTTATTGATTTATACTTTGGTTCCATTGTGGTCAGAGAAAATATTTTATACATTTTGATCCTTTTAAATTTACTGAGATCTGCTTTATGACTCAGAATGTGGTCTGTCAGCTGCATGTGGTGGCTCATGCCCATAATCCCAGTGCTTTGGAAGGCTGAGGCAGAAGGATCATTTGAGGCCAGGAGATTGAGACCAGCCTGGGCAACATAGTGAGACCAGCCTGGGCAACATAGTGAGACCCTGACTCAACAAAAAATTTTAAAAAATTACCTGGGTGTGGTGGTGTGTGCCTGTAGTCTCAGCTACTGGGGAGGCCAAAACAGGAAACTCCCTTGAGGCCAAGAGTTCAAGGCTGCAGTAAACAATGATGGTGTCACTATACTTCAGCCTAGGAGACACAGTAAAACCTTGTCTCAAAAAACAAACAGAAAGAATATGGTCTCTCTTGGCAAATGTTCCTCTTATACTTGAAAATAATGTATATTCTGCTGTTGTTGGACAGTGTTCTATAAATGCCAGTTCAGATTGGTTGATAGTGTTCAAGTCTTTTATATCCTAACTCATTTTCTATCTATTTGTTATATCATGTATTGAGAAGATATTGAAATCTCTGCCTATAATGTGGATTTTTCTGTTTCTCTTTGCAGTTTCATTAGTTTTTTTACGTCATGTATTTCGAAGCTGTTATTGGGTGCATAAATGTTTAGGATGGTATATCCTCTTGATGGATTGATCCCTTTATTGTTATGAAATAATTTTCTTTATCCCTGATAATATTCTTTTCTCTGAAATCAATTTTGTCTGCTATAAATATAGCTGTTTCAGCTTTCTTTTGATTAGCATTGGCATGATATATCTTTTTTTTTTTTTTTTTTTTGAGATGGTGTCTTGCTCTGTTACCCAGGCTGGAGTGCAGTGGCGCAATATCTGCTCACTGCAAACTCCACCTCCCGGATTCACGCCATTCTCCTGCCTCAGCTTCCCGAGTAGCTGGGACTACAGGTGCCCGCCACCACGCCTGGCTAATTTTTTTTTTTGTATTTTTAGTAGCGATGTGGTTTCACCATGTTAGTCAGGATGGTCTCGATCTCCTGACCTTGTGATCCGCCTGCCTTGGCCTCCCAAGGTGCTGGGATTACAGGTGTGAGCCACCACACCCGGCCCGATGTATCTTTTTTTTTATCCTTCTATTGGGTTGGTGCAAAAGTAATCAGTTTTTGCCATTACTTTTAATGAAGACAGCTATTACTTTTGCATCAACTCCGTACATTTAACCTATTTGTGTTTTTATATTTGAAGAGCGTTTCTTTTAGGCAGCATACATTTGGGTCTTTTTTTTTTTTTGAGACAGAGTCTTGCTCTGTTGCCCAGGTTGGAATGCAGTGGCACAATCTTGGCTCACTACAACTTCTGCCTCTTGGGTTCAAGCAATTCTTCTGCCTCAGCTTCCCGAGTAGCTGGGACTACAGGTGCGTGCCACCACGCCTGGCTAATTTTTGTATTTTCAGTAGAGACAGGGTTTCACCATATTGGTCAGGCTGGTCTTGAATTCTTGACCTCATGATCTGTCCACTTTGGCCTCCCAAAGTGCTGGGATTACAGCTGTGAGCCACTGCGCCTGGCCATATTTGGGTCTTTTTAAGAGTAGTTTGACAATCTCTTACTTTTACTTAGGGTGTTTAGGGATAGTTGATAAGGTTGGATTTATGTCTTTGTTCTAGTTATTCGTTTTCTGTTTGTCCTATTTGTTCTTCATTCCTGTTTCCTTTATCACGCCTTCTTTTGGATTGGGTATTTTTCATGGTTGTATTTTACCTCCTTTGTTGGTTTATGAGTTATAATTCTTTTTGTTACTTTAATGATTGCTTTAGTTTATAGTATACATCTTGTCAGTCTATATTTAAGTGATATTATAGTACTTCAAAGAGTATAAGAATCTTAAAATCGTATACTTTCATTGCTTCTGAAGTTTTATGCTATTGATGTAATACATGCTTTTATGTTATAAACACCACATTACATTGTTAATAATTTGGTTAAGCAATCATTTGTCTTTTAAAGAGATATAAAATATAAAAAAGTTCTTGTATATTTACTCATAAAGTTGCTATTTCTGGTCTCTCTGTTCCCTTATATAGATTCATATTTTTATCTGGTTTCATTTTTCTTCTGCCTGATGAAGGCTCTTTATTATTTATGTATTTATTTATTTAATTTTTTTTTTTGAGACAGAGTCTCGCTCTGTTGCCCAGGCTGGAGTGCAGTGGTGCGATCTCGGCTCACTGCAACCTCTGCCTCCCGGGTGCAAGTGATTCTTCTGCCTCAGCCTCCAGAGTAGCTGGGACTACAGGTGCGCGCCACCACGCCTGGCTAATTTTTATATTCTTAGTAGAGGCGGGGTGTCACCTTATTGTCTAGGCTGGTCTCAAACTCCTGACCTCGTGATCCACCTGCCTTGGCCTCCCAAAGTGCTGGGATTACAGGCATGAGCCACCAAGCCTGGCCAGTTCTTTAACATCTCTTGTAGTGCAGGAGATGTTATCTCCTACAGTTTTCCTACATCTGCAAGAACTTTTATACCTTTATTTTTGAAAAATTTTCTTTGCTGGGTTTAGAATTCTTTGTTTTCAGAGATGTTGCTATACTAACTTCTGCTCATATTGTTTCCAGTGAAAAATCTGCCATCATTCGTATCTTTATTCTTCTGTCTGTATCTTTTTTCTCTGTATAAATTGTTTAAAAATATTATGTAGCTTTCTTCATGTTTCTTGTGCTTGGGGCTTGTTGAGGTCCTTGAATTTATTAGTTTATACATTTAAAAAAAATCAAATTTGAAAAAATTTCAGCCATTATTTCTTTAAATAAATAAATATATATATATATATATATATATATATATATATATATATATATTTCACTCCTCATCTCTTCTCCTTTGGGGACTTCAACTACATATTTACTAGGCTGCTTGAATTTGTTCCACAGTTCACTGATGTTCTTTTCAGTAAGAAAAAATTATTTTTACTTCTATGTGTTTCATTCTGAATAGTTTCTATTGCCAGGTTTTCAAGTTCACTAATCTTTTATGTGTGTATATATATATATATATATATATATTTTTTTTTTTTTTTTTTTTTTTTAGAGACAGGGTCTTGCTGTGTTGCCCAGGCTGGTCTCAAAATCTCTGGCTCAGGCAACCCATCGTCCCCCTTGGCCTCCCAAAGTGCTGGGATTACAGGTGTGAGCCACCATGCCTGGCCTGATATTTTTTTCCCCCTGCAATGTCTAATCTGCCATTAATTGCATCTTGTGTGCTTTTCATCTCATGCATTACATTTTTCATCTCTAAAAGTTTGATAGGGTTCTCTTTCTGTCTCTTTTATGTCATCCATGCCTTGGCTTACTGCAACCTCTGCCTCCTGGTCTCAAGCAATTGTCCTGCCTCTGCCTCCCAAGTAGCTGGGATTTCAGGTGCATGCCACCGTGTCTAGCTAATTGTTGTATTTTATGTAGAGATGGAGTTTTGCCATATTGCCCAGGCTGGTTTTGAACTCCTGAGCTCAGGTGATCTGCCTGTCTCAGCCTCCCAAAATGCTGGGATTACAGGTGTGAGCCACTGTGCCTGGCATTGTGCTTTTATTTTTAGGGTGGTAGATATTTTTGTATTCTTATAAATATTGAGCTTTGTTCTGGGACACAGTTAAGTTACCTGAAGTAGTTTGCTTTTTTTGGATCTTGCTTTTAATATTTGTTAGATGGGAATGGAACAGTATTTGTTTTGGGATATATGCCATTACTGACGCAAGGCCCTTCTGGGTGTTGCCACAAATGTCCCATGAACTATGAGATTTTTTTCATCTTGGCTGGTGGAAATAGGTCCTGTGTGAATGCTGGGTACTGTTAACCCTAAGCTTTTTGGGTTATTCTTTTCCTGGACTCAGACAATTTTTGGATATGCACGTGCTGATTGGTACTCAGCTGTATATGCGGTGGGGTCTCTGCAGATCTTTAGTGTTCTTTTTTTGTACAGCTCTCTCCTCACTGCTCTGTCCCTTGAACTCTTTCTGGACTCTCAGCTGTATCTCCTCAATTGAGGAGTCTTCTGGTCACTGCCTGGCTTCCCCTCCCTGCCACTTCAGCCTGGAAACTCCCAATGCAGTGAACTGGGGCATTCATCATGTTCACCTTGTCACCTTGTTTCTTTCTCATCTTTCAGGAATCACTCTTCTTCCTTGCCTAATGTCAAGTGTCTTGAACACCATTGTTTTATATATGCTGTCCAGTTTTTTCAGATGGGAAGGTAATTTTAGCTCCTGTTTTGGAAGAAATGTCAAGGTTGACATCATGATTTATGGCCTGAAAAAGTCCAAGTTTAGCCTTGCCATTTTCTAAGATGGAGAAGACTGGGAAGAACAGGTTTGGTGGTGGTGGGAGTGGTGGGAAAGTCAGGCTAAGTTTGAAGAGCCTGTTGGATATTGGAGTAATTGATGTTAGAGAGGCAGTTGTAATCAGCAAGCTCCAGTAAGAGGAGAGGTCTGGGAAGGAGATACACATTTGTGTGTATCAATGTGCAGATGGTATTTACAGCCATGATACTGGATGAGATCCCCAAGGGAGTATAGTTAGAGTATTGGATTAATCCTGTTTTTTATTTTCTATATTTTCTGGTGCTTTGACATCTTGAAGTTTTGCTGGCATTGGAGGGACCGCTCCTCCCAGGGTCAACTAATTCTTAGAGAGGTAGCAGCTCTCTTCGGAGTGGGCTTTTTTTTTTTTTTTTTTTGAGATGGAGTCTCACTCTGTCATCCAGGCTGGAGTGTAGTGGTGTGATCTTGGTTCACTACAACCTCCGCCTCCTGGATTCAAGTGATTCTTGTGCCTCAGGCTCCTGAGTAGCTGAGATTGCAGGTGCCCTCCTCCATGCCCAGCTAATTTTTTTATATTTTTAGTAGAGGCGGGGTTTCACCATGTTGGCCAAGCTGGTCTTGGACTCCTGACCTCAGGTGATCCACCTGCATTGGCTCCCCAAAGTGCTGGGATTACAGGCGTCAGCCACCCACTCACAGGAGTGTGCTTTTCATATGCAAATCAACAAATTCAGAGCCCTACCTCACAACCACCTACTTTATTAGGCTCTTGAACTCTGGACTACTATTCTTCTGCCCTAATTGCCCCATCATTAGGTAGTAGACAAGTAGGGAGAGCTCCCATGCCAACTAACCAGTCCTAATCCTGTTTACCCTGCCTTGACCTTTCCTTCGCATGGAATAGCAGCAAAGACTCTTGTCCACATTTTCCTGCTTTCCCCCTCTGCCTTTGACTCTGGTGCTTCTTTCCCCACGTGGCCTGGCATGGCATGCCATCATGCCGTCTATTTCTAGAGACTTGTGAGTAAAGGCTTCTGCTTTCATGGTAATCATTTCTGTGTTTGTGTGTCTTACCATGCGTGATTGAAACAAATCCCAATCCCCTTGTAGTAAGTATGGAAACACTAGCCCTGGCTAAATGGATACCCCATGTAATCTTCGTAGCAGCCCTATGAGGTGTAGGTACTATTATTATCTTACTTTTATAGATGTGAAGACTGAAGTAGGGGAAGGTTATGTAACTTGCCCAAGTCCACCAGCTTCTATGTGGTGAAATTGGGATGTAGCCTGAGACACTCTGAAGTCCTGTGTTCTTAACTGCAGAACTATCCCATGTGTGGTCAGGGTGGGGTTCAGTCTGAGGTTAAACTCTGTTAATATGTTTACAAACTGCAACTTGTTTTTTCCCCTAAGACATGATGAGCTTTACTTTGCTGTCTAAATGACAACGTAAAGATTAGCATCTAGAAAAGAGACCTTGCGGACAGTGTGGGCCTGATTTCTTGGGGATGAGGGGTTACAATTTCATTTTTCTGATGGACAGTACACATGTGTGCCATGGGACCCTGCCAAATTAGGAAAGAGATGCTGGATTCTCTCTAATCAAAGCTGGTCTAGTCTGCGTGGCAGAATCTTGTCCATTTAGAGCTGAAAAAAGTAATCAGCTGGACTTTCCATTTTCAGAAGATGCTGAAAAGGGATGATAAAAAAATTTCCCCCATTATCATAATATTTATTATTCATAAGAAATTTGGGAAATACAGGTCAGGTGTAGTGGCTCATGCCTGTAATCCCAACACTTTGGGATTACACCCGCCAAGGTGGGTGGATCACTTGAGCTCAGGAGTTCGATACCAGCCTGGGCAACATAGTGAAACCCCTTCTCTACTAAAAATACAAAAATTAGCTAGGCGTGGTCGCGGGCCCCTGTAATCCCAGCTACTCAGGAGGCTGAGGCAGGAGAATCACTTGAACCCGGAAAGCAGAGGCTACAGTGAGCCGAGATCACGCCATTGCACTCCAGCCTGGGCGACAGAGCAAGATTCTGTGTCCAGAAAAAAGAAATTTGGGAAATACAGAAAAACTTATATAGAAGAAAAAAATACTCTTATAATTTCACAGCCCAGAGATAACACTGTTAATGTTTCATTCCTTTAGGGCTTAAGTTTCTGACTAGAAGAATTAATCAAAGGTCAGTTTGGGGTCTGTTGCCTTCTCTTTCCATGTCTGCCTGTCTCTCTGTGTGTGGGGTGTGTATGTATGACTGTCTGATGGTCTCTTTCCACTCTGACACTTACACACCCCTAAGCCCCATTGGAGATATTGCCCAGTTCTGAAGGGGAGTCCCATGGATTCAGTGTGACATTGATACCTTTCTGCCTAGCTTGGGGACTAGGGCCCCTGCTCTTGGGGCTTTAGATATGGTAAAGGATTGCCCTCCTTGGGCTTTGACTCCATCTGACCTAATCAATAACTAATCAACACTGAGTTGATCTTATTAGCTATTCACTGCCTCCCTCCCAAACCCCAAACCAAGCTGGCTGTGACAATGCTTTTAATTAATATGAGGCAGGTTAAAACTCATTACATAATCCTAGCACTTTGGGAGGCCACGGCGAGTGGATTACTTGAGGTCAGGAGTTCAAGACCAGCCTGGCCAACATGGTGAAACCTCATCTCTGCTAAAAATACAAAAATTATCCGGGTGTGGTGGTATGCGCCTGTAATTAGTTACTCAGGAGGCTGAGGTAGGAGAATCGCTTGTATCTGGGAGATGGAGGTTGCAGTGAGCCGAGACTGCACCACTGCACTCCAGCCTGGGTGTCTCCAAAAAAAAAAAAGTCTAGCAAAGCTTGAAGTGGACAGGCCCCTGCAGGCCTAAGGATGGCCTGCTAGTGCCTGGAGTCTGAGACAGCCCCTCTGCTGTGTCGGGAGGTGGGCGGATGGGCCCTCTGGCTGCTGGGTTGAGGGTGTTCAGGGCTGCAGCAGTCTCTTCTGAGCAGCAGCGATCTGGGCGTGGTGGCTCATGATGGTAATCCCAGCACTTTGGGAGGCCGAGGTGGGTGGATTGCTTGAGCCTGGGAGATGGAGACTGCTGTGAGCCATGATTATGCCACTGTACTTCACTCTGGGAGACACAGTGAGACCCTTTCTCAAAAAAAATTGTGCAAATTTATGGGGTACATGGGAAATTGTTACACATTTATAATGTGTGGTGATTAAGTCAGGGTATTTAGGGTAGCTATCACCTGAGTACAATACAGTTTTCTAAATATAGTCATTCTCCTCTGCTATCAAACATTGAATTTATCCTTTCAAGTTTACTTTATGTTTGTACCCTTTAATCCACTTCTCTTCATCCTCTGCCTGCCCAACACCCATACTGGCTGGTTTGTTATCTGTTTTTCCACTCTCTACTTCCAATATCACATGTTCTCTCTTACATGTGGGAGCTAAAACAAAAACGAAAACAAAAAAACTTCTTAATTTCTAAATTTCCTGTGTGGTTCACTTGGCAACTAATTATACAGGATCTTTGAATGCTTTTTCCACCTTTGTTGTCAACTGTTATTTAACTCCTCGCATGATTTTATGGCCCCCAATATGTGTTATTACATCAGCGTCCTACGTGGCACTGAAGAGTATAAGTCCATCCTCGTGGTTCACTCTCTTGGTTGACTGAGATGGGAGGAGGCAGGTACCAGGTCCCCACAGGGTACTGGGGTCCCTTGTCTTCTGCATGTGCCCATGGCCCCATCCTGCCTCAGAGGCTTTAGCTCCTAGAAGGTAGGACCTTCATAGTACCAAGGCCCTCAACTGGGCAGGGGGGATGACTGTGGATATGCAGCCTGGCGGCAGATGGGGCCACCTCCCAACTCTGGAAGGACCGGTGAGCATCCGGATGTTAATTAAGGCTACTCTGTCCTAGGCAACCTGCCCAGATGCCTTCTCCATGTGCCTCATACCCCCCACTACAGTGACTCCTCCAGTTAATAGGAGACCCCTGCTAAAGTTTGCTGCACTAAAGAGCCCTAGATTTTGGAGTGTTTTCTAGACCTTCCTTTGATATTTATTAGTGATTTCTTTCTTTCTTTTTTGAGACAGAGTCTCGCTCTGTTGCCCAGGCTAGAGTGCAGTGGTATGATCTCGGCTCACTGCAACCTCCGCCTCCTGGGTTCAAGCAATTCTCTGCCTTAGCCTCCCAAGTAGCTGGGATTACAGGTGCCCGCCACCATGCCTGGATAATTTTTTTTTTGTATTTTTAGTAGATATGGGGTTTCACCATCTTGGCCAGGCTGGTCTTGAACTCCTGACCTCATGATCCACCTGCCTTGGCCTCCCAAAGTGTTGGGATTACAAGCGTGAGCCACCGCGCCTGGCCTAGTGATTTCCTTAGCAACAAAACGACGGAGTTTATCTTCTTTAAAGATACCAAAACTTGCTTCCCTGAGGTGCTGTGAAGATTAAAAGATACCATACATATGACCATGTTTTATAAAACGTAGCAATCCAAACAAACAAAGCATAATTGGTATGTCTGAGGGGTGGGTGGCAAATACTTTAACTCTGTGTCCCTTGAATGAGTCATTAGTAGGTTAGACTTGGTTAAAAGCCTTGAATGCTTATTTCTAGGGAGTGGGACCCAGACTAGGTAAGTTTTGATGAAGAGGAGGAGATAGGAAGCACTGGGCCGTGTTTGAAGGGCGGCCTCTGTATGAGGTTGGAGTTGACTGCCCCGTGTACCAGGAAGCTGGACACCAAGGGAAAAGGTGTGTGTGTGTGCGTGTGTGTGCATGCATCTGCCCTGGGCATTGTGGGGTAATGAGGGTTTTCAAGCAGAGCAGGAAGGTGAAGGGAACAAGGTGTAGGGAACAGTCTGCACTCACACCTCTCTGGTCCTGGCCTGTCTTCCTGCAGGTGCACCTTCGCTCTGCCAGGCGTCTCTGTGAGCTCTGCTGTGCCAACCGGGGCACCTTCATCAAGGTGGGCCAGCACCTGGGGGCTCTGGACTACCTGTTGCCAGAGGAGTACACCAGCACGCTGAAGGTACTGCACAGCCAGGCTCCACAGAGCAGCATGCAAGAGATCCGCCAGGTCATCCGAGAAGATCTGGGCAAGGAGGTACCCACCTTTGCAGGGGGGATGGGCCTTGGTTGGGATGCTTCAGAAAAGGCCCCGGCTGAATTCTTGCAGCCTCGACCAGGGTGCTGGGGATCCACCAGTGACACAAAACCAAATGTCACAGCCACTCTCAGTGCTGAAATCAAAGAGGTTAGAAGGAATCTCAGTGGCCCTCAGTGAAACATACCAGTTCAACCATATGAAATAGTTCATATGAGACTGTTATTGACCTGAAACCTATATATCATTCATATGGTTCAACCTAATAATAAATGTCACTTACTGAAGGTTTAAGGCCTTATTGAAGCTTTATCCTCAGTAGGGCTTTGAAGCCCCATCCCATCTGGTTTCAACCTACCTGTCTGTAAGTTGGTGGGGCAGAGTGACACTGTGGTTTAGACTCTAGAGCCAAGAGCTTGGACCTTGCACAAATGATTGATCTTGGCACCTCACTTTCCTTATCTATAGCCCACCACATAAGGTTGCTGTGCAGATTACACGGGATAATGAATAGAAGGTGCTTAGTATAGTACCTGATGTAGAGCAAGTGCTCAACAAATATTAGCTATTATTTGTATAGTAATGGTGTTCTATACTATTGTGGTTGTTGTTTCCCTACGCTCTGGTCCCATTGTGCTACCTGTCTCAAACTCACTGTGTTGTCTTAGTCCTCAGTGCTTGTGCCGTGGTCTACCATCTGCCTGATGTCTTTGCTTCATTCTCTACTTGTCAAGTGACTTCAGGCCATCTGCCTATCTGTCCACCCAGCTAGCAAATCCCAGGCAGGGTGCTAGGTGCTGGGTTTCCCGTCCAAACCCCAGCTCTTCTAGGAAGTCTTCTGTGACCCTCCCTTGACCGATCTTATCCCTCCTTTGGGCTCTGCAGAACTTTGCTCCCTGCACTTGTGCAACTTGTGGCTTGATTAGTTGTGTCTAAGGATTTCCCTGCAAGTCATAGTCTTTGAGGATGAAGACCATGACAGTCCTTTTACTCTGTATTTACAGCTCTGGAACAGTACCTAGCAGGTGCCCTGGGTCTGCTTAAAGAGCCAATGGATGAACTAGAAATAGTGTTGTTAGGCTACTTGGCGCAGGGCCAGGAGAGTAGGGCAGAGGTTTGATAAAGACCAGTGGTTCCCTTTTTACAGGGAGCTGGCACTGACTATTGGTCCCTTAATGTGGAGCTGGCCCCAGGTACGCAGCATCCATTCAAAGGTGTCCCACTTCTCAGTGATATCCTGGCCTGGAGCGGGGGTTGGATCATACAGCAGGTGAACATAGAAACATCTCTGACTCCTCTGCCACTGAGGAACATGTCCTCCAAAGGGAGAGACATTGAGTGAAAGGTAAACCCGAACTGTGGCTGGAGTCAGGGAGCAGGCTGCAAGCTGGGAGGAGCAGGGTCAGGAGAGAGGGACCCCAGGCAGAGGGGACTGAATTGGCATAGTGCTGGCCCACTCATGGCTTTGCCTCTTGCCAAGACTCTTGGCCCCCAGCTTCTAACAGCACGAGATTCACCCCCAAATTAAAACTAAATAAATCACGGTAATAACAGTGTGAAGTGCATCATTGCTGGCGTGTGGCAGCTCTCTGGGGGTGGAAACAAGGAGCAGGAGGCAGCAGGTTAACCCTTGGAGGCTGACTTGTCTGGAGAGCTGGGGAGGGAGGTGGGACAAGGGCAGGTTAGTGGCTGTCCCCAAGCCAGGGTGGAGTGAGGGAAGTTTGGAGTGTCAGCAGTCATGGTGGCCCACCCAGCTGGCTAAAGAATGTTTGGGGTTGGAAGACGTCGCCTGATCTTCAGGGCCCCTTCTCCAGTCCCCTCCACCCCCTGCCGATTAGCCCTGAGCACAGTGGCCATGTGGCTCCTGCCCCCACAATGCTTCTTTAGACCCCTGAGGAAATGGGCTACTGTCCATGTCATGGTTCTGAGGGGTGTCCCTCGCAGCTGGGGAGCTTCTTCAGAGCCCTCTGGGTTCTTACCAGGGCCCCACAGGCACACACTCTGTCTTCCCTGCCCTCTTCCTCCTCCTCCCCCTTGGAAGATGGCATTTGTTCCCTGGTGACACACTTTCCCAGTGTGTGGGTGGAGGGAGGGGAGCGGGGCCATGTGGGAAGAAGGGTGGGTGCGTGTGGGGGTGTGAGGGCGGGGTAATGTCACTCACTTGGCATTTCCAGCCTCCTCCAGCCCCTCCCATGACACTTCTCGGGGAGCAGTCTCGCCTCCAGGATGCTTGAGTGGGCCCCACTCATCCTCAGCTCCATGCCAGCCCTAAGACCTTCTGCAGAAAGCTCCATTTCATCCCTGGCTTAAAAGAGGCTGTCAGTTATGCCTCACCACCTTCCTAGGTCCCAGTCCTCGGATAGGCTTTGAGGTTACCTTGAGCTCAGAGATTCCATAAGTGCTCCTAAAGCTCAGACTGTAGAGAGCGGTGGTGTGGTGAGGGAGGTGCTTGGATGGTCAACAGCAGTGTTAGAGGTCACTATGTCCTCAGACCCATCCCTGTTGCAGGCAGGTGGGGCCCGGCCCTGTGGGGCATTCCCAGCATAGGTGTGGGGGTAAGATTGAGGGTGCAGTACTTCTGGACCCCACGGTTCATATGCATTTCTGGATCAGCCAGAATTTCTGCACATCAGCTGGCACCATCAGTGCAGAGGTGAGGGCACTCGAAGGGGCACTCTCCTTGCATAGCATTGGCTCAGGCAGGGAGTGCGCTGGGGCCACATTGCTAAGGGAGGGCTGGTGACAAGCAATGGGATGAGACCTCATGTCCTCTAATTCCCAGGCTGGTGATTCGTCCCCTACATAACAGCTTCTGTTTGGCAGGAAAAAAAGCAGTTGTGTGTGTGTCTGTGTGTATCTTGGAAGTTTCTCAGCTAGTATTACCAGAAAGAAACTTACTTTTTTTCCTTTATTTGGTTGTTAGGCTTATATCCTGAAAGACAGGTTCCAGGAAGCAATCAGGAGCCCAGCCTCTGGGAGGTGGGGTCGTTTCTGCCTCCTCAAAAGTGACCTCGTTCTGGACTGGGTCAGGGGTGGTCCCAGCCTTGGTCCCCTTGACTGCCCTTGGGGCTGTGGGTCCAGATGCAGTGCTGACCTTGGCCAGCAGATGGCGCCTGAGCTTGCAAGTCAGGGATGGTTGTAAAGACCTGGCCCTTCTCTTTGTGGGGGGATCCCTGACCAGGTGGATGAGACTGGGGGTCTTTCTGCTCTTGGGCATGGTTCGTGCTGTTGAAGGAACGCAGGCTGACATCTCTACACCCTGAATGGGCATGCATAGCCTCAGCCACGAGGCTGTTGACCACCCTGGGTGCCTCAGCCCTTGACTCCATGTTGGAGGACGTGGTATTGGAGTTAGGAGTTCTCTGATGCTCCGCAGTCTCTGATGGCCAGTGATTCTGTGCTTCAGCACCTTTTCCTTCATTCCTTCTCTCTCCTGCTGGTCTACGCGGTTGGCATTTAGTGAAAAAGGACAGTGCCGGACATTTGGGTGTAGCCAGGGATGGGTACGACCTCATTCCAGTCCTCACAGTCCAGGGTCATGGGAGGTTCACTCATCATGGTAATACATGGCCACATAGTGCCCAACGAGCTTGCAGAGGAGAGAGAGGTTGCCTTGGGCAGATGGAGGCTTTCTGAAGCAGGTGGCCTCTGACCCAGCCCCTTAGAGATGGATGGAATTGGAGGAGGTGGATGTTGGAGGAAGTGATTACTGATTAATAAGCTGGGTTCAGCAGAGGTGCAGGGACAGGAAAGCATAAAGCATGGAGGTGAACAGTGAGGTCTTGTTGATTACAATGTGGCGTTCAGCCGGTGAATAGTGGAGCAGAGGTTGTAGGATTGGGGCTGAGGTCACATTATGAAGGGCCTAGAATGTTCTTTTCAGAATGTGAGTCTGAGGGAGAGGAGGACTTGGGGAGGGACCTGATCAAAAGAAGGACGAAGAGACTGAGATATACGGAGTGGGGTGGGGCATGTGGTCGGGTGGTTGAAGGAATTTGCCTAATAGGCTGAATATTTAGTAATGTGGGAGATGAGGTCATCTTTGAAAAGTGGAGGAAGATATAGATGGGGAGGTTTGAAGTGGGTGGGAAGCTTGGGGATAGAGTTATCGTGGAAATTAAGGGATGATCTTTGAATTGTCAGCCACACTATGCTGTTATCTTTGGTCATGCACACACATACACACACGCACACACACACACACACATCTATACCTGCCCCCATGACATACAGACAAGTCAGATCTTGTTACAGCCTATTTCAAGAAATGGTCCAAGCCGTGCGTGGTGGCTCATGCCTGTAATCCCAGCACTTTGGGAGGCTGAGGTGGGTGGATCACTTGAGGTCAAGAGTTCGAGACCAGCCTGGCCAACATGGGGAAACCCTGTCTCTACTAAAAATAGAAAAATTAGCTGGGTGTGGTGGTGGGCGCTTGTCATCCAAGCTACTTGGAAGGCTGTGGCAGGAGAATCACTTGAACCCAGGAGGCGGAGGTTGCAGTGAGCTGAGATCAGGCTATTGGACTCCAGCCTGGTCAAGAGAGTGAGACTCTGTCTCAAAAAGAAAAAAAAAAAGAAATGGTCCAGTTCTGTCCTAGAATATAGTTATATCAGATAAGGTTCTGTCCACCTCTGAAATCCCATGAGAAACTGAAGGAAATGAGGCCAGCTGCTGGCATGGAGCACAGAAATACCTCTGTTAGGGGCAATGCTTATATTGGTGTCTGGGTGGTGTGGTTTGGCTTTTGTACTCTGAAATTTGTTTTTATCAGTTTTTCACCCCCTGGTCTTTCCTCCCAGGGGAACTTATTTTACAGCTCCCCATAGTACGTAGGGACAAGCGTATGCTGCAGGTGCTCTGTGTTCTTGATGCACCATCTGACTGGAGTTTCAATGAGAATGAAGGAGAGAGAAGGTGCAGGGGTACCGTTGTGCAACGGGTAGAATAATTCATATCCAGTTGTTTTGTAAGAGCCTGTGGGTGCAGTGGGAGGGCAGCTTGTCTTGTTTGCTCAAGGTTTAAGCAAATGTTCAGAAAAGAGATAAAGAAGCCTTTCCTCCAAGAATATAAACTGTTTATCCAACTTGTTGGTGGTAGAGGCAGAGAGCAGGCACTGTAGGCGCAAGGACCAGCATGAACAAGGCAGAAGTGGAGAGATGAGGCAGGAGAAGGCCTGCCTGGGCGAGGGGCACACAGCACCTCTGTTGTCCCATGGAGAACTTGATGGGAGGGGGTAAAAGGTGCCCTCTTTTTGCATCTCTTCCTCCAGGCTATGGCAGGTTGGCCAGAGCTGGGCTGGATTTCATTCCTGTGTAACTCAGGGCTCTCTAGAGAAACAGAACCAATAGGATATGAATGTGTGTGTGTGTGTGTGTGTGTGTATGTGTGTTTGTGCATGCATGTTTGCTTGTGTGTGTGTATTTAGAGCTAGAGAGAGAGAGAGAGACTGATTGATGTTAAGGAATTGGCTGATGTGGGTTATAGAGGCTGGGAAGTCCAAAATCTGCAGAGTGGCCCAGCAGGCTGGAGACCCAGGAAGAACCGATGGTGCAGTTCAAGTCTGAAGGCTGTTTGAAGGTTACCTGCTGGCAGAATTCCTTCTTGCTTGGGGAAGGTCAGTCTATGTTCTGTTCAGACCCTTATCTGATTGCATGAGGCCCACTCATGCTATGGAGAGTAATCTGTTTTATTCAAAGTCCACTAATATAACTGTAAATCTTGGCTGGGCACAGTGGCTCATGCCTGTAATCCCAGCACTTTGGGAGGCTGAGATGGGAGGATTGCTTGTGCACAGGAGTTCGAGACAAACCTGGGCAATATAGGGAGACCCCATCTCTGTTAAAAAAAAAAGTTAAAAAAATTGAATTAAAAAAACAAACAAACAAACTGTAAATGTCACCTAAAAATACCCTCACACAGCTGAGTGCGATGGCTTATGCCTGTAATCCCAGCACTTTGGGAGGCTGAGGCAGGCAGATCACCTGAGGTTAGGAGTTCGAGACCAGCCTGGGCAACATGGTGAAACCTCCGTCTCTACTAAAAAAAATACAAAATTTAGCCAAGTGTGGTGGTGCACACCTGTAATCCCAGCTACTCAGGAGGGTGAGGCAGGAGAATCCCTTGAACCCGGGAGGTGGAGGTTGCAGTGAGGCAAGATCACTCCACTGCACTCCAGCCTGGGTGACAGAGTGACACCCCGTATCAAAACAAAAACAAAAACAAAACCCCTCACAGAAGCATCCAGAGTAATGCTTGGCCCAGTATCTGGGTGCTGTGGCCCAGCCAGGTTGACATGTAAAATTAACCATCATGATTCCCTATGTGGCCCTCAGCCAGGATTTCACATGTGTACCCTCGGTCTGCTTTCACACGGCCTGGAGCTTCATAGCGAGCCTTGGCGGTAGACAGGAGCCAAACTGCCTGTTGGTATATTGGCTTTGTGGCCTTGGGCATGTTACTTAACCTCTCTGTCCTGTCCCTCCATTTCCCGATCTCTAAAATTGGAATCATAACACTACCTGCCACCTAGGCTTGTTGTGGGGATGGATTGAGTTAATGATTGTGGAGCATCTAGTGCAAGCTTGCTGCAGGGCAAGGGGCAGTAAACGTTAATAATTCTTTCTGTGTATTGTGCTGTGTGCTTTTTATGAGCAGGTACTGGGGTTCTGAGAGACTCGTAAATGGCAGAGTTCCATCTTTACCTGGGCTTTCTGATAACTGGTACAGCTCTCTGTCCCATATTCAGTCATATGTTGCTTAATGATGGTGATATGTTCTGAGAAATGCATCATTAGGTGATTTTGTTGCTGTGTGAACATCATAGAGTACTTACACAAACCTAGATGGGACAGCCTACAATATACTTTGGGTATATGGTATAGCCTGTTCTTTTCAGAATATGAGACTGAGGGAGGCTTGAATCTAGGCAATTGTAACACAATGGTGCGTATTTATCTGTCTAAACATAGAAAAGGTTCAGTAAAAATATGGTATTATTAATATAATGGATCGCTTTTGTATATGTGGTCCGTTGTTGACCGAAATGTTGTTATGCGGCACATGACTGTA
This sequence comes from Homo sapiens, assembly GCF_000001405.40. Taxonomy (NCBI): domain Eukaryota; kingdom Metazoa; phylum Chordata; class Mammalia; order Primates; family Hominidae; genus Homo; species Homo sapiens. The sequence goes on from NC_000014.9 coordinate 77,866,348, forward strand.
CTGTTTTGCTAGAATAATCCTCCTTTCTCTTCCTCTTCCTGATCAGTACCCAGCACTCTATCTGGTCAGCCTCTTCCCGCTACTTTTAGAAATCCCCACAGGCTCCCAGGCAGCCTGGGTTTCTAGGGCTCTGTCTCCCACTTTGGGGGGTTACCTGGGGGGCAGCTCAGCTGGTTAGGGTTAATTGCTGCAGTTTCCCAAGGCCCTTTGGCAGCTCTCCTCTGGATTAGGGACTCTGAAGTATGTGCTCTTGGTCTCCAGGCAGGGCTAATTCCATGGATGAGGGGTGAGAGGAGGTGGAAGTCTGGCCAGATCGCCAACAAGGAGTCACAGGTGCCTGTAGTCATGGAGTTGGTGGTTGTGCTGTATTTAGGACCCACTCACCTAACCCTCTTCACTTGCAAGGTGGCAGCCAGATTCAGCTTCCCTTACAGTGTCCTGGTGGGGCCGGGTGTGGGCTATATCCAGGGCTGAGCATGCCCTGGGCTGGACTAGGAGTAGGGAAGTGGTTAGAGCAGAAGCGGGGCAGGAGAGCCCCTCCTACCCTGGGGTCTGACTCCACCTGTGCCTGCAGCCCCCGCAGGGGAGAGATGCCTCCAGGCTCTCATATTGTTTGCTTCTTTCCAGCACTGATCCAACTTCTCCCCATCCTCCTCTTATTTACTCATGTGCATTTATTGAGCACCTCCTCTGTGCCAGGTACTACACCAGCCCCTGGGGTTCCTGCCCCCTGGAGCGCCCTGGCTGTGCCCCTTGGAGTGCCATTCTCCCATGCTGGCAGGGTCCAGCTGAGGTCAGCTCACCCTCTAGCAGCCCAGGCTGCATCACGGGCCCAAAGCTACCTGGAAACCTTTGGCGGTCTGTAGACTTGCTTCTCCTGGTCCTGAGCACCACCTTTGTTTGTTCAGGCATCTGGTTTGTCTCCCCAGACTGTCCCCAAGAAGGCTACCAAATGAATATTCTGGGAATGGAACAGAAGGATCTGGTGGCCATGAAGCCATGTACAGGAGGACTAGGGGCCAGGGAGTGGGATCGCCTCCTCCCAGCTGGGCCTCATCCTGCCTTCCCAGCAGCTCTCAATAAAAAATACATTTGTATTAAAAACATAATGAAGAATAAAAAAACCCATTTCCCCCCCAATAATGCTGACATCAAAAGAAGATTTTTATCAATTATGAGAGAGATTTCGGCCATAAAATTGCAATTTAACTAGTGGGAGATGGATGGCAGGAAGCATTGCTGTCAGCACGGACGGATGGCCTGCTGTTAGTCACTGCGGGAGAGGCAAGGCAATGGTCGAGGTGGCCCTGGCTTGTGCTTCCTGCTGATGCCCCATCTGGCCCGACCTTCTCCCTGTGACCACTGCCCTCCTGCAGGCCTGTACCCTGTCTGTGCCCTGCTCCCGGCCTGTGTCCTGCACCTTGAATCCTGGTGTCACCATGTTCTATGTCATCCTGGGTAAGTTTTGTGATTTTGCTGAGCCTTGGTTTCCTCATGTTTAAACAGGGATGATAAGAGAGCCTTCACATGAATAGGGCTGTGGTGAGGAATGAATGCTATAGCCCAGCCAAAGTGCACTGCCTGGTGAATGGTAAATGCCAGTTCACTGTCAGCTGTGCTTGTTACGTGTCGAGTTGTTGCGAGAGCAAAATTTGGCAGTTAAGACCAGCACCCTCATCTTGTATCCAGCACCTTGCCTGGTGCCTCGATCTTCCTGAGGTTTAACAAATACTGACTCTGTTTGTTCACCTTCTGTTGTTCAGTGGCAAGTGCTTTGGACAAAAGTTATCTGGGAGAATCACTCATGGGTTGTGAGGGCTTATAAATCATTTAGTGCGACCCCCACATTTCACAGGTGAGGAAACTGAGGCTCAGAGAGGGGCAGTCACTTGCTTAATGACACAACTGGTTGGTGGTAGAAACAGGACTAGAACCCAGGTCTCCTGATTCCTGATCCAGTGCTCTTTCTCCTGGACTATTCTGTTTCAGATGGAAGCTCAGTGCCCGGAAGAGAGGGCAGCACTCAATCGAGCAATCGGGCTGGGCTTGCTGTCAGAGCCACCCAGTGGGCCTCCGTAGCTTGCATTGTCCTTGGGACCTTGTAGTTTCCTGCGGACTTTGAGGAAGCCATATTTTCCTAAGTCCAGGATCCTATGGTTCTTTTTGTCCTTCTTCCAGTCTTTTGTCTTGCCAGTGGTTTGGGGTGATTATACTAATGTGCTCACCAGTTCACTCTCAGTCCACAGGCTGCACGTGGGGTGCCTCCCCTTTGTTGGGATCTAGTGCTCAGGGTCGTGCCCAAGCCCTCTGATCGGCTGGTGTGTCTGGATTGTTCCATACCCACTTCCTGCAGATAAAAGGCCTCAACCCATGGTGGCCCCATTCACTAACCCCGGGAAGGTTGGGACCCACCACTTGTTGGTTTGCTTACCTAGAGAATACAGATTTGTAGAGCAACTGCTATTCTCTTACCCATGTGCCACTGCAGCGGGGGATATACAGAATGTTAAAGCTGTGCCCCTCCCTCCAAAGCCAAGCAGGCAGAACCGTGCACAGAGGGAGTAATTAGAGAACAATTAAGCCCTCAGCTGTGGGGCTGATGGTTGGGAAGTTCAGGGGAAGTTCAGAGGCGGGTTCCTGGTGGTGGGGGTTTGGGCTTTGAACTGGTCCTTGAAGGGTGGGTAAGATTTGAGGAGGGGAATTCTGAGGGCACACAGGGTTGGCAGTTGGTGGTGAGTAATGACCACAGGTAATTCAATGCCCAGAGAGCCGACAAGCTGGCCTGGAGTGGCAGGGAGCTTTGGTTGGATGGCGTATTGGTTTTCTCGGGCTAGCCGCAAACCTCTGGCTTAAACAACAAATGTATTGTCTCACAGTTCTGGAGGCCAGAGGTCTGAGATCAAGGTATCAGCAGGGTGGGTTCCTTCTGAGGCCGCGAGGGAGGATCTGTTCTAGGCCTCGGCCCTAGCTTCTGGGGGGTTTGCTGGCAATCCCTGCTGTTCCTTGGTTTGGAGATGCATCTCCCCAATCTCTGCCTTCATCTTCACATGGTATCCTCTTTATGTGGGTGTCTGGCTCTGTGTCCAAATTTCCCCTTTTTATAAGGACACAGTCATGTTGGATTATGATTGTGCTATTCCAGTATGACCTCATCTTAACTAATTATTAATATATCTGCAATGACCTCATTTCCAAATAAGGTCACATTCTAGGCTGGGGTTAGGACTTCCACATATGAATATTTATGGAGCACAGTTCAACCCACAACAGATGGGTGCATTAGGTCTTCTGTGGTTGTAAGGATCTTAACTCCAACTTGAACTAGCTAAGGCAAAAAAGGAGATGTGTTACATTGTAGTTAGGGTTGGGCTAGAGTTGGGCCTTGGGGTGTCTTCTGGGACTCTTGTATCTCTCCCAGCAACTTCTGTCTGTGGGTCAGCCTCATTCACAGCTGCTTCCCTCCATGACCAGCTGCCATTGACAGCTTTTAGCCTCACCTCTTCTCAGCTTCACACCTAAGAGGGCCTGACCCTGCTCCCCAATTTCAGGACTCTGATTGACTTAGCCTAAGTCAGATGTTGTACCGGGTTAAATAGTGTCCACTCCACCCAGCCCCACTTTTCTTTATAAATTACCCAGCCTCAGGTATTTATAAAAACGTGAGAATGGACCAACACAGATGGGTAAAGGCAGACAAGATGGTAGGTATTAGTGTTGGTGGATAATAACATATGGTTGTGTTTATTTGGTACTTGTTATGTAGTGTGCATTGGCTGGATGTGTTACAGATATTGTTTGTAACCTTTACAATAACTCTGTAAGGCTGGTAGATTACCATTCTGGTTTTCCATCTGAGGAGGCAGAGGCCCTGAGAAGGTAACAGCTATGTTCATGTAGCCAGTAAGAAGCAGAACCAGGATTTGAGCTCTGATGACATCTCCACTCTTCCCGCTATGCAGCTCCTAGCCCTGCAGAAGGGCTGGTTTCTGGGGGACGTTAAAGAGAGCCATAGGCATTGGGTCTTGCTGTGGCAAGTTTTAGGGTATCTTCTTAGGCCCCAGGTCTTAGAAGTAAAGTCAAATCAGCTAATAGCCTGTGTGTTCTTGTGTGTGCCCAAGACTGATAAAGAGACATTTTAGGCAAAGTGAGCTAATGGTGTAGGACGGATGGAGGGAGCCAAAGGAGGGGCCCTGCGAGGAGGCTCTTTCCATCATCCATATCTTGCAAAGGTGAGCTCTCCCTATGGAACCTTTTTAGCTGTCTCCCTAAGCTGGGGCAGGTGCCATTTTTTTCTCCCCTCAACATCCCCCTGGAGCTCAGAGCGTGAGTGTCCCAGGTTGGGCAGTGAGTCAGGAGGCCATAGCCTGGAGGACAAATGCCATGGTTATGGCTCTTGAAGGACTTGCCCTGGCAGTTGGCCCCATGCCTTCTAGGACTGCCACAGGGGTCACAGAGTCCTCATTTCCTCCCTGACTGGAACTCGTGGCCTTCCCTCTCTTCTCCAGGGAGAAGGGGAACAGGTCTCCCCTGCAGGCCACTCAGGGCTGGGGCTGTCAGTATGGGCAGGGTGGATGTGATTGCAGTGGCTTCTGATGCCTCTCCCTGTCTCCTCGTGACCCAGAGGTCTGTTCTTCCTCGTGGCAGTCCTGGGAGAGGGGATGGCTTTTTGGAGGAGCCTCAGGCCTGCCCAGATGTACAATGAACATACTGGCCAACATGGCCAAATGAGTGAGGAATACATGCTTGTCTTAGTTTGGGCTTTCCTAAAAACAAACAATAATTTGAGTAAAAGTGATGTTGTGGGATGCTCAGATGTTGCCAGTAGGGAAGTGGGGATGTGGTTCAGGAAGGGGGAGGCAGCTGGTAACTCTCTGCTCTTAAACCAGTGGCTACTGTGGGCAAAATCAGGTTAGTCCTGTGGGCAGACTGGGAAATGGTGTCAAATACGTACCTTTCACCCATCCCACCCAAGGGCCAAGGTAGGATATTCATTCATACACCAACTTCCTAACTTCTTCTTTTTTTTTTGAGACAGAGTCTCACTCAGTTGCCCAGGCTGGAGTGTAGTGGCATGATCTCTGCTCATGGCAACCTTTGCCTCCCGGGTTCAAGCGATTGTCCCGCCTCAGCCTCCCAAGTAGCTGGGATTACAGTCATGCGCCACCAAGCCAGGCTAATTTTTGTATTTTTAGTAGAGACAGGGTTTCTCCATGTTGGCCAGGCTGGTCTCAACCTCCTGGCCTCAGGTGATCTGCCCATCTTGACCTCCCAAAGTGCCCGGCCCTAACTTCTTTAACTGACAGCTGCTCCTGGGAGCTGATACTTCCTGAGACTTGGAAGTCCCAGGGAGTCTCTGGCACAGATGCAAATCCTGGGGGTCATGCAGGAGCTGAAGGGGAGGTCTGAGGGGAGCAGGTGGAGCACTGTCAGGGCTAGGCCAGCATCATCTCAAAGAAGCCTCACAACTGCTCTGTGAGAGTAAGTACTGTTTTTATTATTCCTATTTCACAGAGGTGCAAACTGAGGCCAGAGATGTTAGGTCTCATGCCTAAGTCACTCAGAGAGCGTGAGCAGAGTCAGGTCTGGCTTCAGAACCCAGGCTTTCTAACCCCAGCATTCCATGGCTCTTTGCAAAGGGTCCTGCGCTTTTCACAAAGTTTTCTCATCTTAGCAGCTTACGCCTTCTGTCAGCATTCCCAAGTGGGAGGCAGGGCAGGCAGATGAGGAAACCTCGCAGGTCAAGGAACTGAATATTTAGCATTTCCTCTGTCCTGGGCATGAATTAGATGTTTTCAAACACATGGTCTCATCTAGTCCTCACAACAGCTCAGAGAGATTGGCGTCCCTTTCCCATCACTTCCAGACATAGAAACTGAGACTCTGAGATGTTAAGTAACTTCCTCAGGGTCACACAGCAGGATGGTGGCTGAGCCAGGAACTGAGCTTGAGTGTCACCGGACTCCAGAGACACACACTTCAGTCACACAAGCTGCTTCTGGGAGGTGAGTGACCCGAGAGATCTGTCTGCGAGGTTGGGCGGGGCCAGCACCTTTCCTCTGACCGCACATCTTGCCTTCCGCTCCGGGCTGGCCTCTGACCTGTGTTCCCTAAAAGCCAATCATAAGGTGGCTGAGGAGGTTCTTGAAGAAGAGGGAAGTGGGGTGTTAGGCTCTTCCCTGTCTTACCCCTGGGAAAGGTGCTGCCTCTCTGTGCTCTCAGATGGGGGGCTGGCCTTGGGGGGAGAGTGGGGGTGCCCTCTTGCTCTCCCGCCTGCTTCCTTAGAGCTGGGTCTTCTTGCTGTGCCGCCCCCAGGTCCCCTTTCCCCACTCCTTTTTTTTTTTTTTGAGATGGAGTTTCACTCTTGTTGCTTAGGCTAGAGTGCAGTGGCATGGTCTTGGCTCACTGCAACCTCCACCTCCCGGGTTCAAGTCATTCTCCTGCCTCAGCCTCTTGAGTAGCTGGGATTACAGGCATCCGCCACCACGCCCAGCTAATTCTTTGTATTTTTAGTAGAGACGGGATTTTGTCATATTGGCCAGCCTGGTCTCGATCTCCTGACCTCAGGTGACCTGCCGGCCTTGACCTCTGAAAGTGCTGGGATTATAGGAGTGAGCCACTGTGCCCGGCCTCCCCACTGCTTTTAAAAAAGTTTTAATGTTTATTTTAATAGTTTTTAGAGTACAGGTGGTTTTTGGTTACATGGGTAAGTTCTTTGGTGGTGATTCTGAGATTTAGTGCACCCGTCGCCTGAGCAGTGTACACTGTAACCAATAAGTAGTCTCTTATCCCTCACCTCCCTCCCCACCGCTTTCTACCTGCTGCTGCCACTTGGCAGCAGAGGGAGCCGAGCCCTCCATGTCTAGCTGATTTATGTTCACTGTTAAAACAATAATGTTTAATCTGGAAAGGGCTAATCAAGTTTTTATGCTGATTATGAATAGGCCAGCTGGGCCTGCTTCTTTATTCATGGAGCTTCAGAAACAAGCCCATTTCCCAGGCCAGGCCTCCTTGGTGATTTATGCCATGGGAGGCCCTGTTCAAGGGGAGCTCATCAGTGGCTTTACCTGTGCCACTTTGGAAGGGAAGCCTCGGCAACTGCTGGCATGTGCATAAGTGTGCGTGTGTGTGCCTGCATGTAACCGGGCAGTGTAGCCTGACCCCAGGTGGAGAACTGGACTTGAGTATGTACTTGTGTTTGAATGTGTGCACTTGTGTGTGTGTGTAGGTTGGCTGGGATGAGGCTGGGTGATATGCTTTGGCTGTGTCCCCATGCAAGTCTCATCTTGAATTGTAGCTCCCTCATCCTGTTCTTGTGATAGTGAGTTAGTTCTCACATAATCTGATGGTTTTATAAGGGGCTTCCCCCTTCACTGGGCACTCATTCTTCTCCTTCCTGCCGCCATGTGAAGAAGGAAGTGTTTGCTTCCCCTTCTGCCACAATTGTTAGTTTTCTGAGGCCTCCCCAGCCACACCGAACTGTAAGTCAATTAAACCTGTTTTCTTTATAAATTCCCCAGCCTTGGGTATGTCTTTATTAGCAGTGTGAGAACAGAATAATACACTGGGCTACCATTAGGATGGAAGGTAGGAGTTACAGGATCATGGCATTAGAAAGGCTAATCAGGATCAAGTACTCTAACACTCTGCTTTTACAAGTGAGGAACTAATACCCAAGGTGAGGTGACTTCGCTGAGGTCCCACAGCTGGGTGGTGGCAGTGGGGAGACTGTGGGACTAGACTGCCCCCCATCCCCGTACTCTTACTGAGAGTGCAGAACTCTTTCCACAGTGGTACAAATGGGACAAGAGGGTTGGAGGAAGGAACTGCATGGGCTGCTTTGCTTGAGTTCTCTTGATTCATCACAACCACCCTGATGCCTCTGAGGAGCTTACATTTTATGGTACAGAAAGAGCTATAGACTGAACTTTGAAAGAGGTCAGCACAAGAAGAGAGAAAGTTATCTGAGGTTTAGGTTACAGCATTTGGGTGTTCTTGGAATCTGCAAATAGGGTTGCAGGAGGGGTGGATGGGGCTTTCTGGAGGAGGTGAGAGGTGAGCAGGACTTCAGTGTGGTCAAGAGGAGAATGTACAGAAAGGCATGGAGAAGGCCTTTGGGGCAGGACTGAAGAAGTCCTTTATGGTGTCACCTGAGGGTGGGGTCTGAACCTTGAGGCCAGACTAGGGAGGCCTATGTCTCCCAGGCTGGGGTGGGGCAGGTGCTGGGCCTGGATGGCTTGGGTGTCCACAGGCAGGGGCTACTGTATGTGGACTCTGCGTGTCCCCTCTCCCTGCTGGGGCTTCACCAATCATTTGTGTATTCATTGTTTGACTTTGCAGGTATTTAGTGCGCTTCTGTGTGCTGGCCCCAGGGGTTATGAGGGTGAACAAGCTACCATCAGGGCACTATGATCTATTTATAGGGGAATAGCAGCTGTTAAATGTGTGAGGAGAAAAATAAAGCTTTAATAACACCTGTGGTAAGTGCCCTAGACTTTTCCTCTTGGCATTTGAGTGACTGCAGGGAGGTTGCAGTATTGAAGCTGAGACCAGAGGATGGTTAAGGGACAGGTGGATGGGACAATGAGAACGAGAATGCAGAGACCTCAGGATGGGAAAGAGCCTGGGTCTGTCCAGGGACAGGAGGGGCTTGGTGGCAGCAGGGCAGACAGAGACCCTGAAAGATAAGGCTGGAGAGCTGAGCTGGGTGTGCTGAGGGGGTCTGAGGCTGGTGTGGGGAACAAGAGTAGAACTCACTGGAAGACCAGTTATGGGGCAGTTATGGTCATCCAGGCAAAATGGGGCGGTGGCTTGGACATAGGGAAGTGGAGAGGAGAGGACTGACATATTTGCAGATGGAAACCACAGGACTCAAGGATGGGTTACATGGAGAGGTGTGGAGGAGGTGGAGGTGCCACAGTCACCTCCCCAGGTTCTGGCATGGACGGTGGTGGGTGTTAGCAGGTCATCCTACTGGCAGTCGGGGAAGGAATTTTCTATAATGCTGGAATTTGCATAGTTGCCTCCTCTTTCCTCAGGGTAGGAGCGAGTGGGTTGTGGTCAGAACGTCGGCAAGTGGCACTGAGCAATGTGGGGTTCAGCATTGAGAGGCTGAACAGCCTACGGTCCCTGGTTTCTAGATATTAAAAAAAAAAGAAAACTCCTTAGCACCCTGATCTAATGAGAGCTCTGGGGTGTGAGTGTTTCCCTGTCACCGGGTTTGTGGATGGAGAGGCTGTTATTTCAACAGCTAGAGCTGCTCCTGCACGTCAGCCACGAAGTCCTCATAGTGATGAGAGTCTGGCCTGGCCCCACTGCTGTGTGTGAACTATGGACTGTTGCCTGCACGTGAGCGGCAGAGGAAATTGGGCTCCTTGGGAAGAGAGGAAGATGTCGCTTCAACTGAGCAGGGCTGAGCATTTGGCCCTGGTGCTGGGAAGGAATGACATTGAGGAGGAAGCCCAGGAGGGAAACAGGGACTGGTTTCAAGTGTCCTCGCCTGGCATGGCAGAACTAGGAAGCTGTGATGTTCCCCTTCCTGGTCTCACATCTTGGGGTTCACACTTGACCTATGTTCCCCTCATCTCATTCCCCAGCTTTCCAGCCCCACCATGACCCTGCAAAATATTGCAAAAGACTAAAAATGGACTTCCACTGAGAGCGTAACACTAGTGCTGTAATCATCGGTTTGTAAAATTTGTAAAGGGCCTGCATGAGGCTCCTATTGGCTGCTGTCACAAATTACCACACATTGCATGGTTTCAGTCAACACACATTTATTATCTTATCCTGCAGGCCAGCAGTCTGAAAATTAAGGTGTTGACTGGGCTGTATTCCTTCTAGAGGCTCTAGGGGAGATTCCCTTTTCTTGGCTTTTCCAGCTTATAGAAGCCACCTGCCTCCCTTGGCTTGTGGCCCCTTCCTTCATCTTTACAGCCAGTGGTATAGCATCTTCCAGTCTCCCTCTGCCTTTTTTACCCTGTCACCTCTGCATCTGTCATGTCATCTCTTTCTCTAATTCTGCCCTTCCTACCTCCCTCTTGTAAGGATTCTTGGGTTGATATTGGGCCCACCTGGATAATCCACGTTCATCTTTCCACCTCAAAAGCCTTGCCTTTGGGGCACCTGCAAAGTATCTTTTGCCATATAAGGTGAACATCTTTGGGGGGCTCATTTTCTGCCTACCACAGTGTCAGATAATAAATGTTTTAGGTGTTGCAGGCCATACCATCTCTCTGTCACAACTGGTTACCTCTGTAGTGGTGGCACAAGCGCAGCCATGGGCAACATGTCAACAAATGAGCATGCGCCCCAGTAAACCACAGGTCTACCAAGGCAGAGAGAGATGGGTCGCTGATCCCTGTGCTAGTGTTCTTAATCACTGCTCTGCTTGCTGAACTGAGCCAGTAGAGTTATGTTGACTGCCACCCCCCGACCTCCCAAGTGTGGACTTCGTCTCCCCAGTAGATCCATGGAGCCTGGGTTTACCTCCCTTTAAAATTCCTGGGCACTGCTGGTATCATATGCCAAGTGAATCCAGAAAGCTTTTTACTGGGTGCAACATCCTTGCATGTACAAAGAGCTTTGGGGCTGGGTGCAGTGGCTCACGCCTGTAATCCCAGCACTTTGGGAGGCCAAGGCGGGTGGATCACCTGACTTCAGGAGTTCGAGACCATCCTGGCCAACACAGTGAAGCCCTGTCTCTACTAAAAATATAAAAATTAGCCGGGTGTGGTGATGCGCACCTGTAGTCCCAGCTACTTGGGAGGCTGAGGCAAGAGAATCACTTGCACCTGGGAGGTGGAGGCTGCAGTGAGCTGAGATCATGCCACTGCACTCCAGCCTGGGCAACAGGGTGAGACTCTGTCTCAAAAACAAACAAAAACACAAAGGGCTTTGGTATTTACTTGCTTTTGGCTCCGAGGCAAGCATCATAGCTTAGGCACATTTGCTGTGTGGCATTTTGCTACCTCCTGAAGCCCAGGACGTCTGTCCTGATAGCAAATGGAGCTGCTGTAAGTGAAGAATGCTGTGCTTTGTGGATGCAGGAACAACTGAGGGTTGTCGGAAAAGGCCTTTGGGGTTTTGTGAGGGTGAGCTTGTCAGGTTTTAGAATTCACGGCCCTCATCAGAAATGAATGTGAGCCTTTGTGGCTGGGCGTTCACCTCAGTGGGCAGGAGCTGTGGATGGGGACCCCTTCCCAAGGGGGAAATAGGGAAACCAAGTCTGGATTCCTAGTTTGGGAGTTGCTGGCTTTTGTATTTCTGGCTCTCTCCAGTCTCTGTGTCTCATTCTCCTTATTCATGGTTCACACATGCTGTTCCCTTTGCCTGGAAGGCTTCTCTACCTCCTGGGTTCAAACGATTCTCCTGCCTCAGCCTCCCAAATAGCCGGGACTACAGGTGTGTGCCACGATGCCTGATTAGTTTTTTATTTTTTTGTAGAGATGGAGTCTTGTTAATGTTGTCCAGGCTGGTTTTGAACTGCTGACCTCAAGTGATCTTCCTGTCTTGGCCTTCCAAAGTGCTGGGATTACAGATGTTGAGACACTGCACCTGGCCAGCTTCTCCTTCCTTTCTTCAGCTAGTTAACTGGCTCCTCAGCCTTCAGATCTCTGCTGTTTGTCATCTTCTCAGAGAAGCTCTCTCTGCTCTCCCTGAGCAGGTTCAGCCCCTGAGCATAGGCTCTTATGGTGCCAGCTTTCCCTTCATTGCACTTGTCAGAGTTGGCCATTTTACTTTTATTTGTGATTATGTGGTTACTTTCTATCGCCTTCCCTTGACTTCTAAGTTCTAGCTGTAACTCCGGAGGCTGGTGGCTGTACCCACTTTGGATTTACTCCTCAAATGCCCAGTGATTAACATCGTGCCCTGCACATATTAGTCACTTAGTAAACATATGTTGGATAGATAAATGAGTGATCCATAGCGAATATATTCTCCTTTATAAAATGTAGGCAATAATCTCTCCTCTAACCTCAAGAGAGGGTTGAGAATTACATACGAGCATTTTGAAGGGACCAGACCTTACCCAGATATAAGGAACTACCCATGGTTGAGCATTCAGTCCGTGCAGGGCAAAGATATCCTGACATTCCCTTGTATTGACCCAAGCTCAAATTCAAGGGGGAGGTGGTGGGTTCTCACGTGGGCAGGCTTGCAGTGCTGGGTGCAGGGCCCGTCTTGCCTGGGTCTAATCTCCTGGTACCACCTCTCTCAACTGTGGTGGGGCATAAGCACTTGGCCTCTGGGGCTCAGGGCTGGCTCATTGCCTCAGTACTTGGATCACCCAGGGGTTACCTGCCTGGCCTGGGCCCTGGCTCTGGGTGTCTCTGGCTTCATACTGTACTGTGTCCAGGACCTCTGGTCTCTTTTACCCTAGAGATCTCTGTTACAGGCAGGGACATAGATATGTCACCCTGTGAGGCTATAGATGTTATTAAGATGGGGAATGCTGAAAGATTAGATTTATGATAGCCAACGGTGGATTATGAAGAATAATTTATCAAATGTCAGTGCCTGTGGCCTACAATTTACAGAAGGTTTGCTTAAACTGGGAGGTCTGATTGGACTGTCCCTTCCCCCCCCACGAATGAATGACAGCTCTACTGGATGGCTTCCCAGGCTGGCCAGCCACACTGGGTGTTTATCTGCTTTTTATTAATCATTATTATCACAACATTTCCGTAGAGTCCCTTCATCCACAGCTCTCAAGGTACCCAGCACCTAGGAGGCTCCCTCAGCCACCGTGAAGGAACTGTAGCCACTTCTGGGAGGTGTTTCAGCTCCCCTGGATCAGCTGGAGGGCCCAAGGTTCCCTCTCCCTGATGAGGACAGGGGAAATCTAACCTGAATTCCATTCATCTGTTAGGAAATACTTACCGAGTACCATCAGGTGTAAGGTGCTTTTGATGCAGTGCTGAGCAAAAGCAGATGTCTATAGTCTAGAAGAGAAGGGGGAGATTAAGCAAATATGAAGAGGTAAATGTGCAGCTGTGGCGATTGCTCTCAAGGAAGGTGCATGAACCCTGAGAATGTACGCAGGGGAGACCTCTCTGAGGAGGTGATTGTTCAGCTGTGATTGGAAGAATGAGTGGGGGAAGGGAGCCTTTTGGCCAGAGGGGACAGTGTGTGCAAAGGGCCCATGGTGCATGCAGAGAGCATGCTGGTGGCTGAACGAGGTCATATGTTTCTAGCAGAGGGAGGAGGGTGGGGCAGGAGAGGTAGGCCGGGTCAGACCCCATGGGTCATGTTCAAGATTTTGGCTCTAGGAAGCTGGTGTAGTGACTTATGCAGCGAGAAGTGACATGATCAGCTTATGTTTGGGAAACTCACCCTAGCTGCATGTGTAGGCTGGATTGGAAGAGATAGGGCAGGCTGGTGAGGAGGTCATTGCAGTCTCTGGGGAAATGAGGGTGGTGGCTTACACTCACTGATGGAAGCAGACTGAGAGTCCGAAACTGCTGACTCTGTGCCCAGCACTCTTCACTGTAGCACTCTGCCCTCATAACTGGAGGCGTCATGTGAGGCACCCACTACTATGGCAGTTATTGGGGGGCTACTATAGGCTCTATTCTAGACCCTTTATGTATGTGGTTTCATATGACCCTATGAGGTCAATATTAAAATAACCATTTTACAGATAAGGAAACTGAGGTACAGTGGATTTGAGCCTTGGCAGTTTGACCTAGAGCCTGCACTGGAATCACCAAGCCTTACAGCTTCTCAGGCTAGACTGTCCTGACGAGCTGATAGACGTGTCTCAGAGTGCGCACACAGCCATCCTGGAGTATGGGTGCCCCTGGCTTCTTTTCTTCCCTACCTGTCAGCCGCTGGTCATCATCTTGAGGGAAGAAAGAAGCTTGGTCTGACCTGTGATGCCCTTGACAGAGCCAGGGGGGTGATGGCCTTGTGCCAGGAGGCGGTTCAGCAATTGGCAAGCATTGTGCCAGCCTCAGTGCAGGAACAGTTTTGTAATTTCTGGGATTGGCCCTTGTCAGGAGGGCCTCAGGTTCTGCTGCTGGCCCTTCATTTTCTTTTCAGCTTGGCAACAGCAATAGCTAATGGCTCTGCAGAACCAATAGTTTGATCTTTTGGAACCCCAGAAAGAACACAAACTCCATGGAAGACAAGGTCGGCGTGTCCTTGAGCTGTTATTGCCATTATTATTTTTATTATAATAAATTGCTCTGAGCGGGAAGCTGGTGGTGAGGGTATTCCCACCTTGAGGCAGAGCAGCTGTTGAGTGGGACAGAGGTCCAGACAAGGAGTGAGGAGGGAGAGAGACACTTGATGCCTGTTCTCCCCTCTGATCACCATGGTCACATCAGAGGTCTCCTCTTCTTACCTTGCCGAACATTTCTTTCAGGATTGGAGGAAGCAGCAATGTGCAGGAAGCACTGTCTCCAGCAGGCCCTGCTAAAATACAAGTGTGTTTTTCTGAGAGGCTGTTGCCTTTGGACGTCTCCTCATGGCCAGAGACTGTGTTAAGTACACCCTATGTAATTAACATGGTTCCTGTCATATGATGGTCCTGCAGTAAATATGTGTTGACTGATTGGCTTAGGCTAAGGAATAGCAAATTGGTTTCATTTCGTATATGAACTCTGGTCAATTTGTAGTGGCTGCCTGGAGCACTGTGTTGAGATTCCAAGGCACCATCTGGGATCATCAGGAATGGACTGGTGATGTCTGGCATGGGTTTGCTTGGGGTGTGTTAGTTAGCTATTTCCACATAACAAATTACCCACGTCCCACCTACAAAACTTTGTGACTTAAATCAATAAACATTTGTTATCTTACAGTTTCTTTGGGTCAGGAATTTGGGAGGCTCTGGCTGAGTCTCTCATGAGGTTGCAGTCCTATGGAGGCCTGGCAGGGGCCGGAGGATTGTTTCCAAGACGGCTCACTGTTGTCAGGAGGCCTTGGTTCCTTGCCACATGGACCCCTCTGCAGGCTGCACGAGTGTCACCATGCCGTGGCAGCTCACTTCTCCCAGAGCAAGCAATCCAAGGGCGAGTGAGAGACTCGTCACAGCCTTTATGACTAGGTCTTGGAAGTCCCATGCTATCGCTTCTTCCATGTGTTCTTTGTTGGGAGTGGATCATTAATTCCAGCTCACACTCAAGGGAGGGGAATAGGTGCCCCCTCTCAAAGGGAGGAGTATTATTTAAAAAATTATGGACATGTTTTATTTAGTTAATTAATTAATTTTTAACATCCAGTTGGTACTAAAAAGATTCTGTTAACACCTATCAGGGCATGTCACTTCCATGCTTAGGACACTGCAGTGGTTTCTCACCCTTTTCCCCCCTAATAATTAATTAATTGTAAAGACAGAATCTTGCTATGTTGCCCAGGCTGGTCTTGAACTCCTAGCCTCAAGCAGTCCTCTTGCTTCAGCCTTCCAAAGTGCTGGGATTACGGGTATCAGCCTCCATACCTGGCCATTGTGAACATATTTTAAAGCTATCACCGGGAAATGAGTGTGCTTGTGCCACTTGCTGTTACCGTCAGGTCACCTTGGAAGATACAGGAATAATTCTGAAGAGGTGGGTTACAAATCAGACATGTTTAAAGGAGAGGGGCAGGAATTGCAGCAAAAGCGGGTATTGGCTGATAGGGCAATGACAAGATATAGGGGTATCTGGGGCAGGTCCCTGGGAAGTGGTACGGGGAGAACTGGATGGGTTCCAAACAGAGGTGTTGGAGAGGTGGTGGTGGGTTTTCTGCCCAAGGCAGACATCTGAGTTTTGCAGAGTCCTAGATAGCTGGAGTTATTGTGTCTGCCTTAGGCTGGGGGTGGGAAAGGGTGGGTGAAACTCTCTCCAACCACTTCCATTAGTGTGGACAGATACTTGTCTCTCTGCTCACCAGGCTCCAGTGGATGGCAGCTGGCACCCAGCCAGGTGTAGGGGGGGCCAGCTCGAGACTGCAGGAGCCAGATGTTGTTTGCTGCTGATGCCATGGTAACCTGCCCTGAGTTGGTTCTGCCCCAGGTGCCCTAAGTGGGAACTGCTTGGTCTTGGCATCTAGGCCTGGGCTTGCCTGCTTTGAGGCAGGCTTCCGTCTGCATCTGGAGCCAGACATTTCGGTGTTTGTGAGATGCATTATTGATACGGTGATGTAGTTTCTAAAACCAAAATCGGCCTGACGTGACCGAGTATGGGAACAGCAGGCTGCAATATTTGAAAGTGGGCTATCTTGGAAGAATTCAGCCGTCCCCCATCCTGTGATTGAGGAGCCCCTTCCCTGAGGGCCCTGAGGCTGGCCACGCTGTGGCATCTGGAGGGGCTGTTTAAGGTACTCCAAGCAAAACTCCTCAGGAGGCGTCGTGTGGTTTCTCTAGAAGATCCTGACTTCCTGTCACCTTATTTTGGTCTTGGCCAGTGCTTGGCTGCTCAGTGTGGCAGTTTGGAAACATTGTCCAGTACCCTGGCTTCATGGGACTCTGCAGGGTGGAGTTTCTGGATAGTCTCTTACTCTGCCCTTTGACTTGGGTATGATGTCACTTAGTCTCCTGATTCCCAGGCTCATGAAGCCAGACTGCTGAGGACTTAACTGCCCCAGATTTGTCAAGCCCCTAGGGGATGACACATTTTTTCTTACACCACCCCCCCCCCCGTGCTTTTTTGCTCATTAAATGACAAACACTTCCCCCCTTCGCACATGTGTGCACACACACACAGAGAAAGAAACCAAATGATAAAAAGCCAGAGAAACTCTTTTTCTGATTATTTTTCCTTTTCCAGACAGGGACATCGATATATTTGAATCACGGGCCGACAGTAATTAAAAAGCACGTAACTAGTCATATTAAAATGCAGTTGTTTTACTTAACTGATTTTGCCGCTAGACCCAGAGCGGGGGAAAAAAAGAAATGGGGAAAGAAAGCCTTAGAAAAGGAGGCAAGTTTCTGTGAGTGACTGGAGGCAGCTGAGGGCCCTGCTTGAATCTAATTGCTGCAAATGCTGCAGTTTGTTTCTGGTAATGGTTTTCTGCTGAAAGGGCTGGGGGACGAGGCCTGATTGGAGGGGGGTGGTGTTTGTTTCAGCTGCATGGGGGGTATAATTCTGCTTTCGGGACAGGGTCTATTTTTCCTTACCATCTATCAGCATAAAGTACTTCCACTGAACACTTTGAATCAAGGTTCCATTTAGAGATACTTTATTCATATTTAATTACAGGCTGCAGCACCAATCTTTAATTACCTTTTTTATAAGCCAGCTAGGAACATCCACTAGCAATCAATTATCATGTGTGTGTATGTGTGTGTGCTTGCTTAAGCACAGGAGGGTGTGGGCGTGTGACTTGCTTCCTGATAGAGAAGGAAAAGATGGCTGCAGGGACACTGGGGAGGTGGTGGGGTGGGGTGTCTGTGTGACAGGTTTCCGGTGCCCAGTGAGGGGTGCATCCTCATTCCCCATGCCTATCTTTGCTTCTGCTGGTGGAACTGGGATGTGGGCAAGTCCTCACAGCTGGCTCTTGTTTAGGGTGCTGAGTTGGCCACTGGGATTAGGTGGTATCTTGGGGCCCCCTTGATTCCCCTGGTGGGGATGGGGAATTGTGGGAGGCCTCCTTCATGTCCTCTGGGGATGTGGTGGACCAGGCTTCCTCTCGCCCTGGAGATTAGGATCTGCTCGCCTCAGCTCTTTCTTTCCCTCACCTCCCTGTGGGGTGCTCTTGGCAGCTGTTCCTGCTACACAGCCCTAGTGATGCCATGTCACTCTTCAGTTACAATGACTCTGCAGTGCCCCTGCAATGACACTGGCTTGGAGACTGGTTGTCCTTCTCAGACAATGAGCACATGTTCCTGGGAGTCAGGTGGAGGCTTGGGGTAAGGACTGATGTCAGATGACCCCCAAATCCCTTTTCAGTGGGAAGATTGGGCCATTTTAGCTGCCCGAGAGATGAGGGTGTGAGTTCACAGCTCTGCTCCAGAAAACCCTCTGCTTGGTGCTCCTTCAGGAACTCCAGAGGGCTTGCAAAGGGACTTGGTGTTGATCTCATTATGTAACAGCTGAGGACATTGCCGAGGCTCTGCCTTCCCTTCCATTCCTGGGTCCCTGTCCCAGCAAGGGGGTGGGGAAGGGATGGAACTCACATTTACTGGGTCTTGTGTGGGGCCTGGGCACCAGGTCTGTGTTTTTTTCACTTATCCCTGCTGGGGCCTGAGAACACTATATCCATCAGAGCCCCTTCAGTTGTGTGTGGCAGATAACTGAAACTGACCTAAGCAGGAAAAGGAATCATAGGGTGGGTACTCAGGCATGGCTGGATCAAGAGGCTCAAACACCGTGGCCCGGGTTCACTCCCTCTGTCTCTGCAGCAGAGGCTTTCTTCTTTGTTGCTACTATGTGACCCTCAGCAGTTCTACCCCAGGCTTATATTTTTATGTTCAGGTTCAACTGAGAAAAACATCTATATCAAACGAAAGTAAAATGATTGAGTCTGATTGGACCAGTTGAGTTACCTGTATATCTCTGAACTAATGCATGTGGCCAGAGATATTCAGGGTCCTGATTGGCCAGGCCAGGGCCTCACACCTGCCTTGGAGGAACAGGTGTGCTTTTTCTATTTTGGAAAGCTCCATGTTTGAGGTCTTTGGATTCATAGGAATGTGGGGACAGGAAGGTCTAGCCATTTCAAAGGGAAGGAAAAGTTGATTCAATTCTTCTCCAGTGGAATAGTGGATTCATTCATTCAACAAATTTGTTTGGCACCAACTAGTTCCAGCCCTGTTCTAGGGAGTTGCAGGAAATTCAGCAGTGACAGAACAGACAAAAATCTTTGCCCACTTGGAGCTGATGTCCTAATGGGGTTTACAGGGATGATGATCCCAAACCCAGGCCCAAGATAAAGGGTTCTTATGCTGAGAAACTCAGGGTGATTGGGTGGATGACAAGGGAAGAATTTTGCTATTGGGAGTCTAGAATTCACGAAGGAGGAGAAAAGACAAGTGTGTTTTTGGGGGAGCAGGGAGAACCAGACACTGGGAGAGACACAAATAACAAACCAACCAGGATGAAGGGGGCCAGGGAAGCGAATCCCATACCCATCTCTCCTGACAGAGAAGCGTAGGCCTTTCCTCATGTGGCCTGGGCCTTTCATCTGGGCAGGTTGTTGATAAATGGGGATGGAGTTTAGTGAAAGCTACAACAATGATGACAGGGCTGGAGGGAGTGATTTATGAGACGAGATTAGGAAAGTGATGGTGTAGCCTAGCAGATGGGGTGGGATGGTGGCTGTGGGTCATGTGACATCTGAAGTCCAAGGAGAGGAGTGGAGGGGCAGGGCAGAGTGGCTGCTGCAGTAGCAGGGATAGAGGGAGGAAGGGCTGTGCAGACTGAATAGACTTCAAAGCATGAGGGCCTAGGAGGGTGGGCCAGGACAGCAGGCATCTATACATGCTTGTGCATGTGTGTGCACATGTCTGGACTTTCCAGGATTGTGAGGCTGCACAGAGGCTTAAAGAAATGGAGAGGATTAGGATTTCAGCCTTGGCCAATCTTGGAAAAGACCTTTAGGGGCCTCTTTCCTAGTTGGCAGAATATTTGGATCTGGACATGTAGGTGTGACCACTCAAGTCAGGGAATTTTATTTCCTTCAGGAATATTGGTATGGCATTTCTAAGAGGGAAGGAGGGAAGGAAGAAAGAAGAAGGAAGAGTGAGGAGTATATTTTCTACTTCATAGAAAAAGAAAATGAGGCACAGAAAAAGCAAGGGGCTTTGTCCAGGCCTACCTTCGAGTGGCATTGCAGGTGATGACCTAGAGCAAAGTTCTGGCTTGCAGCCCTGGGGTCTCTGCTGGAGTGGCCAGGCTGGGAGTGGACTTGGTGACCCATGTTGAGGCTGCTGCTCAGGCCGGAACAAAAGGCAGTTGTTGGTCTGGAGCCTCTGCCCAGGATTCTTTGAGCTCCCCTGGTTGGTAGAATGGAAACATCCTCTGTCTGATCCCTGAGATACTGGGGCTGCCCTGGGCCCACATCCTCTGTCTGATCCCTGAGATACTGGGGCTGCCCCGGGCCCACATTCTGTTAATGCTGGATTGTCCATATGTAAGAGCCTAGAAGGCACAGTGGTGGACAGTTCAATGGGCAAATAAAGCTCAGTTCTGAAGAGCACTTCTTTGGCCTTTGATGGAGGTGCTTAGGGGCCCGTGCACAGGTATGAGGATGCGCCTTCCATGTACGTCTTCTGTCCCCCTTCCTCTGTATGCCTACCGTGAATGTCCAGCAGTGGAGGACCAGGCAAGACCCTGGGCTGGTACACAACTGATAAAGCAAAAAAATCTGTCCTGGAGGCTGGGTGCAGTGGCTCACGCCTGTAATCCTAGCACTTTGGGAGGCTGAGGTGGGTGGGTCACTTGAGGTCAGGAATTTGAGACCCCATCTCTATTAAAAAATACAAAGATTAGCTGGGTGTGATGTCACACACCTGTAATCCCAGCTACTCAGGAGACTGAGGCAGGAGAATTGCTTGAACCTGGGGGGCGGAGGCTGCAGTGAGCCAAGATCATGCCACTGCACTCCAGCCTGGTCGACAGCGCGGGACTCTGTCTCAACACACACACACACACACACACACACACACACACGCACAACACACACACACACTCTCTCTCTCTTTCTCTCTCAAATCTGTCCTGGGGGCACTAGGCAGCCCTGACTCTGGCCCATCTTCCTGGCTCCCTCTCACTGAACTGGGTCATCTTTTTCATTGCTCTGTTCTCTCCACTCCCGACAGATCCATGATTTGTTCCAGAGCTTCGATGACACCCCTCTGGGGACGGCCTCCCTGGCCCAGGTCCACAAGGCAGTGCTGCATGATGGGCGGACGGTGGCCGTGAAGGTCCAGCACCCAAAGGTGCGGGCTCAGAGCTCGAAGGACATTCTCCTGATGGAGGTGAGAGCCCTCCCTTTCTCCTTCCTGTGTCCTCAGTCTACATTTCCCTGGGATCCAGGCCACCTAGGTGGAACTGGTTCAAGCTGGTGAGTGGAGTGTGGCCCTTCAAGCAGCAGAGGGAGAGGAGAGCTGAGATTACGACAGAGGAGGTGTTATGACAGCTCCCTGACCATGAAACCCTGTGGCAGCATGGGTTAGTTCTTGATTTGTCCCTGGAGTTCCCAGGAACTGCCTGTGATGGTCTCAAAACACACTAAGTGGCTGCTAGGGGCCAAGGGGACCTCAGGGAAGGGATGTTGTAGAAATGAGCTGAACCAAAGGTGTGTTTTTTGTCTACCAAAGGGATAGACAAAATTACATCTTAATTTGTTAAATTGTAACAAAAGGGAGCATGTGGTCAACAGGGATATAAAAATGACATACAGATCACATAGAAACATCTATGCAGGTTGCAGGTTTGCTTCTCTGGTACTTATTTGGAATGAAGAAATTCACGTGTCTGAACGGTCCTAGGAAAAACCCTTAGTGGACTTTTCTAGCTCTGTGCTCAGAGTAAGGGCGGAAGGTGCTGAGCAGCCACTGCTTGAGTCAGTAGCCATCACCGCCTACGGGGAGGTCAGCAATCTGTTTAATTTGTCAGTATGTCCCTTTTCTTCCTTTTCTTGTTTCCCTTCCTTTGCTCCCCTTCCTCACTCTGGACTCTTAGTTTATTCTTTCAACTCTAACCAAACTTGATGCATATATTGAGGGTCTTCTGCACCCTATGCTAGGTGGGTGCTGGGGACATGAGAGTGAGTGAGCCCCATCTTCATCTTGGGGTAATCCTCATTTAGTGGAGACAGGCGTGTAAACAGTCACAGCGTGTTTGCACAGTGCCATGTAGCACTGTGCCTGGATGGATGGGGCACCAAGGGGGCTGCAGCAAGATGGTGACTCTTGAGATAGCCAGGCAGCGGAAGGACAGCCCCGCGGGTGTGAGGGCCTGACTGCTTGGAGGACAGAGTGTACTTGGATAACTTCGACCTGTTCAGATGGTATGAGCTCGAAGTGGAGATGAGGCTGGGAAGGTAGGTAGGACAGAACACGGGGGGTTTGTATTCCAAGCTAAGGCGTAGAATGGTATGTATGGTCAACACTCACTACATATTTGTGGATCTGAGCAGATCTGATTTTTTTCCTGTAGTCAGTGGGGAACCATTTAAGAATTTTAATCAGGGGACTGTCATGATCAGATTTGCATTAGAAATAAAAATCTGTTGGGAGTCTGGAGAATGGATTGGAAGGCAGAAAGACTGTAGCCAGGAGACGAATTGAGCTGCTGCATGGGTCTGAGACAGAAATAATGATGTGAAGTGAGGAGTGTAATGGGAGTAAGGGAGATGGATGGGTTCAAGGGGCAGAATCATCAGGATTTGTGACCAGCTTTACACATGGGGTGGGGGCAAGGACTGGTATGAATGAGAAGGAGACAAATATCTTAGGTTTCTGGCTTAAGTGATTACGTTTAGGTATATTTAACTATATATAGTAGTTCCCCCTTATCTGTGAAGATACATTCCAAGACCCCCAGTGGATGCCTGAATCCTCAGATAGTGCCCAACCCTATATACGCTGTTTCTTCTTATACACACTGATATGGTTTGGCTGTGTCCCCACCCAAATCTCATCTTGAATTGTAGCCCCCATAAGCCCCACATGTTGTGGGGGGGGACCTGGTGGGAGGTAATTGATTCATGGAGGCATGTCTTTCCCATGCTGTTCTCATGACAGTGACTAAGTCTCACAAGATCCGATGGTTTTATAAAAGGGCAGTCCCCCTGCAAAGGCTCTCTTGCCTGCCACCATGTAAGATGTGCCTTTGCTTCTCCTTGGCCTTCTGCCATGATTGTGAGGCCTCCCCAGCCATGTGGAACTGTGCGTCCATTAAACCTCTTTCTTTTATAAATTGTCCAGTCTCAGGTATGTCTTTTTAGCAGCGTGAGAACAGACTAATACACATACATACCTATGATAAAGTTTAATTTATAAATTATGCATAGTAAGAGACTAATAAAATATAATTATAACATATAATTATAATGAGTGAGGTGAATGTGGTCTCTTTCTCAAAATATCTTGTTGTATTGTACTCACCTATTTTCAGGACACAGTTGACCTTGGATAACTGAAACCTTGGAAAGCTAAACTATAGAGAAGGGGGACAACTATTTATCAGTCAGGGTACAGCTGGGGAAAATAACTTGCTCTATGTTACTCCCAGATCATAGACATGGGAGTGGGAGCTGCAGATGCTGTTTGAGGCAGAAGAGTTTCCATCTCCTCTTGCCCCCCCAGTATGCCAGTATCCCTCAGTGTTGCCTCTGGGCAAAACCTAGCTGGCAGCAAGTTGGCAAGGGAGCCTGGGAAATGGAAGTTCTTATAAGAGTAAGGGGATCGGGATGCCTCTCAGAACAAAGTGAAATGGTCAATGCAGCAACCAAATAGGGTAAAATAGTGCTCTTGGCAGTTTTGGATAGGGATATCCCTGTTGGTCTGGAATCCAGGCTGGAATACAAATTCAGCATGTATGAGTAAAGATACTTTTGATAGATGAATGTGGTGGAGTAGTTAAGATCACTAGAGAAGGTATATAGAGTTAAAAAAAAAAAAAAAAAACAGAAGAAGAAGAAAGAAGGCAAGGAAAAAAAACTGTGCAAAACATTGGGGGGTGAGCCCAAGAGGATAAGTTCATGAATGGGACTAAGAAAGCATGGTCAGAGAGATTGGAGGAAAACCAGGATTGAGCAATGCTGCTATATTCAGTGGAGAAAAGTTAAAGATGAAAGCACTATATTAGTTATCTAATGCTGCATAATGAGTCACCTCAAAACACAGTGAGCTTAAAACAACAGTCATGTGTTTTGCTCATGAATTCGCAGTTTGGCCGGGGCTTGGTAGAGAAACTCATCTGTTTTATGCAGCTCTAGCTGGAGTAGCTTGACTGGGGGCTGGAGTGGCTCATTTCCTGGCTGGCAAGTTGGTGCTAGCTGTTGTCTGGGAGCTTAACTGGGGCTGTGGGCCAGGGCCTTAGTTCCTCTCCATATCAGCCTCTACATGGCTGCTTGGTCTTCCTCACAGCATGGCGGCTGGGTTCTAAGAGCAAGTGGCCCAAGAGAATAAGGCTGAAAGTACATCACAGTTTTATGACTCAGCCTTGGAAACTACATAGGATTACTTCTTTCTTACTCTTTTGGATGAAGCAGTCACAAAGGCCCCCTTAGTTAAGTTCAGGGTTGGGGAAATAGACTCTACCTCTTAATGGGAGAGTGGCAAGGTTCTAGAAGTGAATTAGAATGGGAGGTACTGTTGCAGCCGTTTTGGAAAACATAGTCTGCCAGAATTCCTCAACGTTGTCATATGGGAGATCAAATCAGTAAAGCACTGGAAAGGGTATTTTGGATCTGGCGATTTAGGGTGGTTAGAAAGAGCAGCTACAGTGGCCTGATCGGGGTGAAAAAGAATTGAGACTCAAGAAAGTGGAGACTCTTCATGGAGAATGTACTGTTTTCAGATATTTAGCTGTGGAAGGTTTGGGAGAGTTAGGGTAGTGGTCAGAGCAGAGCATAGGATTAAATACTGAGGAGACTTCAGTGGAATCGTAGCTGATGGGGAAGGGGGCAGGTTGGGGATTCAGCAGAGAGAAGTAATTGCTAGATCAAGTCCTAAGGGAGATTCAAGCGACTGGGAATGAAGAACACAGGTGGAAACCTTAGCCTTTGTTTCGAGCCCAGTGGAAGGTGGGAAGGCTGGGTACAGATGAGTGTGTGGGGCAGAGGAGAGGGGGAGGGAAAGTGGGCAGCAGAGTGTGTAGCAGCCTGATAGCCTCTATTTTTTCTCTGAAGTGGGAGGCAAGACCATCTGCTGAGAATGAGGGGGTAGAAGGTAGCATTGGAGACTCGAGGTGGGTGAAGGTTTGGAACAGCTACTGTGTGCAGTGGAAGGGAGCTGACCAGGGCAGGAGAGCAGGATTGCTGGGTGGCCCTGAGCATCCGCCTACAAACCTGATTTTTCTAGCACACCTGTCAGCAGCTGTGGAGCAGCCATAGCTGGGAGAGACCTGGGAGACTTGGAGGATCCCAGGGTTTCCTGAATCCCAGAAGCCACTCCTGAGTCAGGCAGGAAGCTGCCTCTGCGTAGTAAAGCCATCAGGGCCCACTTGGACAGTGAGGACAGCTGTCGCTTTTTCTTTGCGTTTTCTTGCTGGCTCCCTAAGTAATGGTTGCTGTAAGGTCAGAGCAATAATAGCAGTAATAAAGATTTGGCATCTTCCTCCCTGAGATAAGCATCACATGCTTTTCTTGGGAAGCACAGCCTGGCAGGCTGTGTGCAGAGTACAGAGTGGCTCCTTAGTAGTGGCTGAGGCAGTTCTGGGGCTGGGACCACAAGGCAAACCTGAGACCCGCACTCATACCCTTCAGGAGAACAGCTGGAATGGAGGCCTGAGGCCACCACCCCATGGATCATCAGGATTAGCAGCAGCACTGGGTAACACTGCCATCTCACTGGGCTTCGTCTCTGGTGGGAAAAGTCCTGCCTGGGTCTTTCTCTGGTACAAAACCAAGAAGGGCCCAACTGGAAAGCTCGTACTTGAAGTGAATATTTTGTTTTTCTGTGTTGAGACCTAAATGGTGTCTTATATTTAGGAATGACAATCCAAGAAAGGTATTAAGCATTTTTGGCTTGAAGAGTGATTTCTAGGGGACATTTAGGGCTACCAGAAACTTAGGGACAGAGAGGAGGAAAAGCTACTTTTCTGCATAGCCTCTACGTCTCCTTTCATGCCAACTCCAGGTGTGGTGTGCCCTTATGCTTCTCTCCCACTGTTGTACACTCTCCTCTGCCCCATAATTGATCACAGCCTGGTCTTAAGAGGAAAGCAATCTGATGAAAGCAGTTCACAGTAAAGAGAGTGACTGATAGGCTTAACCTCTTTATATTTGCATCTTAAGAGGTGACCTTCTACACCCAAACTCATAACTACTGTGCATTTACAGGGTGATAGAGGTCTACAGGGGTGAGACTTTTGAGAGCAAGGGGGTGGTGACTACTGGTTGTGTCAGGTGGGATGCTTTCAGTTGGCTCTAAGAATCAGAAAATCCAACTGAAAGTGGTATAGCTAATACTAACCCTTATTATCTCACATGTGAAGATGTCTGGAACTTGGGTCAGCTGTTCCAAGGCTGACAGCCCAGCACCTCATTGTTTGTAATGACTCAGACTCTTTCCATGTTTCACTCTGCTATCTCAGCTTCCTGGCTCGCCCTCCTGAGCGAGCACCGCACGTAGTCCCAACACAGCTGCAACAGTTCCTGGTGTTACAAGTAGGGGACATCCTCATATTCTTTATCAGAAAAAAAAAAAAAAAGAGATCCCTAGCAGAGTTCCCTTCATTTGTTATTGTCCAGAAGTAATGCCCACTCCCAAATCAGTCTTGGCAAGAAAACTGAGACCACCTTGATTGGCTTAAACCAATCATGACTCACCTTCTCAGACCTGCTATCCTTGAAGGACATGAAGGATGTACAAACTTGGGGTTGTGTTAGCCAGGATGATGGGGGAGATGGCTGTTGGTTTGGCCTCCAATAGCATGTACTACCCTAGAGTTTTGTGTCTACTCTGAACCTGGCAGTTTTGTGTCTCCTGTGAACCTTCTCCCTTGGAGAGGGGAGAGAGCCTCTAGGATAGACTGTTGAAGGATGGCAGGGAAGGGAGGCTGATTCTCAGTAAATGGTGTTCAGTGAATCTGATGGTGTCGATGACTTTGCACAAAAGAAAAAGGCAGAGCCAGGGATGTTTTTTCAGCTTTGTCATTATCACCTGATATTGTCCCTTTAATAGTTGGGGCAACTCTACTTCTAGATGCACGGCCAGTGACTCTTATTGATTTGAATGGCTGTCCAGAGCCAGACTAATTGGGCCCAGAGATTGGAACAATGATTCAGCAGGAGGGGGTGAACTGATGAAGCATAGTCCATCCGTCTGCTGGCGGGCTGGCTTTGCAGCAGTTCTTTTCTACCCACAATATTGGGGAGCTTAGCGGGCCATATCTCACTGCCATTCTCACTGCTTGAGGGCAGGGTAGGACTCAGATGATCCCTGAGCTGGGGGACTACCATAATCTCCAGGTCCTAATCACCCTGTATCACTCCCAGTTATTTCTCCAGCTTCTGAATTGATGAGGAACACTCCCTTGCCCTCTCACCCTAAGGAATCTAACTCATTGCCAAGTACTATGCCCTTCATGCACTACTGGGCCCCAAGGTGCTCGGCTATGTTGGGGTGGGACTCTTTGGCCTGAGCACTAAATCTGATCTATTGCTTGATGTCATCTGGCCCATCCCAAGGGTCTCAAAAAGTGAAAACCCATGGCAGTCATGTTTTTGACCTTTTCTGAGCAGCATTTTCAGTGCATTCTGTCTACCATCTTGTTTCTTCCCTTCCTTCCTTCCTTTTTTTTTTTTTTTTGACAGAGTCTCACTCTGTTGCCCAAGCTGGAGTGCAGTGGTGCGACCTTGGCTCACTGCAACCTCCACTGCCTGGGTTCGAGTGATTCTCCTACCTCAGCCTCCCAAGTAGCTGGGATTACAGGTATCTGCCACCACGCCTGGCTAATTTTTGTATTTTTAGTAGAGACGGGGTTTTGCCTTGTTGGCCAGGCTGGTCTTAAACCCTGACCTCAGGTGATCTGTCTGCCTCGGCCTCCCAAAGTGCTGGGATTACAGGCGTGAGCCACCGCGTCCAGCCTCATCTTGTTTCTTTACTAAATGTGTTGTTTGAACAGTGGGTGGCTAGGCAATGTTTATGTCGGCACAGAATCCAACAGCGATTTTATTTTTTAAAATATATATTAAAAAATATCCAGAGATGTGGGCCACCCAAGGAAACTTCTCTTCACCCTATAAATCTGTTTTCTAAAAAGCGTGTACTTTAATAACTTATCAGAACAAAGATAAACCCCGTGAATGGCAAGCTATGTACATCACTCTGAACTGATTTTCGATCCTTGTTGAACGTTCATTTTTACCAGTTTGGATCGGTACAGGCATTCTATTTAGTGTGCTGTTTTCCCATGGAACATTATTTCTTTTATAATGTACAGTAACTTGATAACAGTAACTTGCATTTCTAGTTGCATTTTACAGTTTACAAAGCTCCTCTGCCTTATCTTGAGCTTCCTATTGTATTGTCCTGTGTCGTTGTGTTGTGTTGCACGAGGCAGGGCTGCATAAAGAACGAACAAGAAAAGCCCAGGTCAGAGTTTGTTTTGACAATTCCTGTTTTCTACTATGTAAAATTGGCAAGAAAAGGATTAAATGAAAGTGTATGTGTAAAGTGTTCGTAGCACAGTGCCTGGCATGTAGTAGGAACTAAATAATGATAATTCCCCTTCTCTTTTGCTATTGTAAATAACAGTCAGTCGTTTTATTTCTTTTTCTTTTCTTTTCTTGTTTTTTTTTTTTTTTTTTTTTTTTTTTTAGATGGAGTCTCACTCTATTTATTGCCGCCCAGGCTGGAGTACAGTGGCATGACCTAGGCTCACTGCAACCTCTGCCTCCTGGGTTCAAGCAATTCTCCTGCTTCAGCCTCCTGAGTAGCTGAGATTACAGGCACATGCCACTACACCTGGCTAATTTTTATATTTTTAGTAGAGATGGGGTTTCCCCATGTTGGCCAGGCTGGTCTTGAACTCCTGATCTCAAGTGATCTGTCCGTCTTGGCCTCCCAAAGTGGTGGGATTACAGGCGTGAGCTACCACGCTTGGCCCATTGACTAGTTTTCAAACTTATGTGTGACTCTTCATTTTTTCCATTACATTTCTGTGTGGCCCATGATTGATTTTTCCTCCTGCAAGCCAATGACCCGATAGGAAGATAGTCTTATTATTTTACCTTGAAGGAAGTATTAATTTTTAAATATACCTTGATTGATTCATAAGGTTCTAGATCAAGTAGAGAATTCTCAGGCATTCTGAAATTACGATTCCCCCAAATTCAGAAGTTATGGCTCTTTCCACTAAAACCTCAGAAATAGAAAAACTCATTTTCTTTGGATAACACATGTGAACATATAATTATCTCAGAGAAGCAGACAAACTCTTTGAAATATTCATTTGTTCATTCATTTACTCATTCATTCATTCATGTGAGTATTCAATAAACATCTGTGGAGTGTTGAGTAGGTGGTAGGCACTGGTGAAAACATTGGCTGTTAGAAGAATTTTATGGAGAAGATGCATTTTGGGAGAAAAATCAAAAAGTCAAATTGATAACAACACCTGTTTTATTTTAGTTGATTGCATGTGTTGTCAAAAAGAAAAATTGAAATGAATCTGCTTAAGGTGGGCTAAGTAGATTCATTTAAGAAGGGAGTTGAATGAAACCAGACGGTGAAACTGAGTTTTATTTTACTTTCTTCAGCCAAGAAAAGTCTAAAATGGCAGCAGCCCGAACTACTTGAACCCGACGACTCTTAACCTGACCCCCTCCCCACCCACTGAATTTCAAGGGGTTGGTGAACCCCTTGAATTATGTGCAAAATTATGTATGTTCATTTTCTGGGCTTCGTAGCGGGTATCAAGTTTTAAAATTGGTGACCTCCTATAAAGGGGATGGTGACATTCCATAAATCTGAGAACCACTGACTTCTATTCAAAGAACCCCCTTCATTTTAAGTAACCAAGGAAGTGACCCACAACCCACAGGATGCCTTAGAAACCAGTTCGATGAGCACTGTAAAGTTTTCTGTGTTATGAATTAGCTTACTAATTAGTTACTAGCAATTAATATTAGTTAATATAATAGACTGCTTATGATTAATGATGTCAGGTATTACCAAGTGTTAATAATAATGAATAGTATTAATAATGACTAATTATGTAATTGATTAGTAACTGGAAAATCTTTAATGTGCCTTTCAGTGCTGCTTGGATATCAATGATAATTAAAAATTCCACAAAAAACAGTGACCATACAATAAATGATGAGGAATTACTGTTTGGCCAGAAGCTTCACCCCCAAGTAGAGACCTCACTGGGCTACAGGTAGCTCTCTGTGCATATCCACGTCTGGCCTATGGTAATTACCTGGAGGGTAATCAGTAAATATTGATTGGACAAATGAGAGAGCCTCATTGTGGCCCCTTTCCTTGCCCCTCTCGGGCGAGACCCTCTGGAGTTGAGATTGGAGCAAAATGCTGGATAGCTTTTCTTGCCTGCATTCCAAGCCCAGAAAAGTGGAATTCAGGTGACTTAGATGGCATGGCTGGCCTCCGCCTGGGCCTGGGGGAATCACTTCTGTTTCCCGTTCACTTGCTCTGCATCTGCTCTGGTTGCTGCCAAGGGCCATCTGAGGGCACTGTGACGAGATTTGATGTCTGGAGGCTGCGGTGCCCAGGTGCCAGGGCTTGAGGCATACAGTCCAGGCCTCTCTGTTGCCCCCTCTCCCTTCTAGTCTTGCTTGATACAAACAAAACATAAACTAAATCAATTATCATAAGGTCACAGGTCTAGCCCATGAAAGACCAGACAAAACTCAAAAGAAATTAAACTACAGCCAAATGTAATTAAAAGAAGTTTTGGTAGAAATTGAGCATGATAACACGGTGCGATGATTCTTTTTGGAATGGCGTCTGGTACATCACCCAGGACATAGGGCTTGAAAACAAAGCTGTAAATGCCTTGTAGTTAATAGTCTGGCTTTAGATTGATTTCTTTTGCCAACACAGCATTGGGCAAAATATCATAGAACAGGGCAAAAAGAAGCATGAGACAAGGCTTTTATCTGGGGCTCAGTAAGTCTTTCTGGAAAGATGGGAAGGGGAAGGTCTTTTGGTACCAACAGGCCCACAGCTTGTTAGTTCTTATTGCCATCTGCTATAGCCAGGGTTAGAGATGGTTGTTCTCAGATAACTCGGACTGTCATTTATACTAAGAATTACTGGGTCAATCAGTCAATGTTCTCCCCAGGCCTGGCTTCGAATGCCAGCAGGAGAGCTTATGGGAGGTCAGGGCCCTTCTGTTTCCCTCCCAGAATTCTGGAACACCTCCTATGTCCCTGGTATCACCCTTGCTCACCCACTACAGAGCCATCATCCAGGAACTTGGGCACCCATCTCAAATCCAGGGCCCTGGTGGTGGGGCAGCCTTAGGATTGTGTCTCTGCTCATGGCAGGGGCTGTGGTATGCTGTGCACAGATCACTGGGCTCTTCTTTAATTTCACATCATTAAACTGACCCCTGAATGCCAGATACATCTTCTAAAACCCCCTCTTAACATGTCATCACTCAAGAATCCACAGTGGAGTCAAATTGCCAAAAATCAAAGCTTTTCATCCAAGTGGTCAAATTCCTTCTCTCTGTCTCCTCTCGTCTTATCCAGCTTTGTTTTCTTATTCCAATTTAGTTTTTTATTATGAAACATTTTAGACGTACAGAAAGTATAGAAAATAGTATTATAAATGTTCAAGCACCAAACATTCAACTTAAGAAATAAAGTAATGACAGTTACATTTGCAGCACCCTCCCAGTGCTTTGTGAACAGACCAGAACAGATCGGGGAGCAGCCACAGCAGCAGTTGAGCTAAGTGTTTCAGAGCAAGGGCTGTAGAGTTGGCTGTGGAATTCCCAGGGGGAATTCTAGCTCGGTACTTCCTTGCTGGGCAGATTTTTTGAAAATCATATAACCCCTCAGAGCCTCAAATTCCTCATCTATAAAATGGGATAGCACTTTGGTAGGCTGAGGCAGGAGGACTGCTTGAGGACAGGAGCTTGAGACCAACCTGGGCAACACAGTGAGACTCTGT
Source organism: Homo sapiens (assembly GCF_000001405.40). Taxonomy (NCBI): domain Eukaryota; kingdom Metazoa; phylum Chordata; class Mammalia; order Primates; family Hominidae; genus Homo; species Homo sapiens. Next base: position 77,898,089 of record NC_000014.9, read on the forward strand.
CTCTACAAAAAAATTAAAAAAATTAGCTGGGCATGGTGATGCATATCTGTAATCCCAGCCACTCAGGAGGCTGAGGTGGGAGGATCACTTGAGCCTTGGAGGTCAAGGTTGCAGTGAACTGTGATTGATCACGCCACTGCATTCCAGTCTGGGCTACAGAGTGACATCTTGTCTAAACAACAGAAAAGGGATGATAAGATGTGTATCTGTGTGCCTCCCAGAGTTGTTGCAAGGATTAAGTTTAGTAGTAAGTAAAGTGCTTAGTTTACTATTCGCAGTAGCAAAGATGTGGAATCAACCCAAATGCCCATCAATGGGAGACTGGATAAAGAAAATGTGGTAGATATACACCATGGAATACTATGCAACCATAAAAAGGAATGAGATCATGTCCTTTGCAGGGTCATGGATGAAGCTGGGAGCCATTATCCTCAGCAAACTAATGCAGGAACAAAAAAACCCAAAGACCGCTTGTTCTCACTTATAAGTGGGAACTGAACAATGAGAACACATGGACACAGGGAGGGGAACAACACACCTGGGGCCTGTTGGGCGACGGTTGGGGGGTGGGGGAGAGCATTAGGAAAAAGAGCTAATGCATGCCAGGCTTAATACCTAGGTGATGGGTTGATAGGTGCAGTAAACCACCATGACACACGTTTACCTATGAAACAAGCCTGCACATCCTACACACATATCCCAGAACTTAAAAAATAAAATAAAATAAAAAATAAGTGCTTAGTTAGTGCTGGGCACGAGGGGAACCCTCAGCAAGTGGTAGTCATGGTTACCGATGCTGGCTGTTGGGCTATCATCATCTTGGACTTGGTGCAGAGTACCAAGCTTATGGGAGAGCAGGAGCCTACTATGTTTCCCTCCTGGAATTCAGAGGAGGGATGGGCCCCAGGGGAGCAGTTTCCCTTACTCTAGGGGAGAACCAGGCAGGAAGGTAGGGAATGTCCCTTGGTATATGCTGTGGGCCAAATGACTGGGGTGCTTGTTGGATTTCAGGTGCTCGTTCTGGCTGTGAAGCAGCTGTTCCCAGAGTTTGAGTTTATGTGGCTTGTGGATGAAGCCAAGAAGAACCTGCCTTTGGAGCTGGATTTCCTCAATGAAGGGAGGAATGCTGAGAAGGTGTCCCAGATGCTCAGGCATTTTGACTTCTTGAAGGTAGGTGGGACGATGCAATGCAGGGTATGGTGGTCTGGTGGAAGAGTGTAGCGGTATGTGGGTCCCTGCCTTGAGCATCCCTTTCAGGACATAATTGGGACATCTTCTTCCTGAGTCCTCTTACTGAGGATGAATGACATCACTGGTGATGTGCATTAAATCACTTGAAGGCAATTTGCAAAGAAATATCAAGTGTGATTGTTGACCCATTAGTCAATTAAACAGATGTTTATTGAATAATCGACAACTACAAGACACTGAGCCTTAGCCAAGAACCTATATGCCGTGGTCTCTGCCTCTGTGAGGCATGGGATGGTGATGATGATGGCGATGCTGATAGCTAACACTACTGTACGCTGGGACTGTTTTAAACACATGTGTTTTACCTTGGCTCATACAGTTGGTTCTTCTGTAACAAAACATATGTGTCCCTAGAAATACTGCAGTTATGGAAAATCACATAAGAGAAACCACAGAGCTTATGGGGAAAATAGAGTTAGGGGCACAACACTCAAAAAAATTCATCAGTGGCTGGGCACAGTGGCTCACACCTGTAATCCCAGCACTTTGGGAGGCTGAGGCAGGTGGATCACCTGAGGTCAGGAGTTCGAGACCAGCCTGGCCAACATGGTGAAACCTCGTCTCTACTAAAAATATAAAAATTAGCCTGGCGTGGTGGCATGTGCCTGTAATCTCAGCTGTTTGGGAGGCTGAAGCAAGAGAATCACTTGAACCCGGGAGGTGGAGATTGCAGTGAGCTGAGATCACGCCACTGCATTCAGGTCTGGGCAACAAGAGTGAAACTCCGTCTCAAAAAAAAAAAAAAAGAAAATTCATCAGTAATACAGTAATATAGGAAAGAAAAGAAGATAGGAATGAATAAAAACCAGTAGCATAGTTTTACACATGTTAAATGGCTAAGAAATACATAAGACCACAATACACATGGCACTTTACCTTGAGCCTGCTGTGGAAGTGGGCATCAGAAGGGTTGCTGCTTGTTAGTTTTGTGGGGTGGTGGGAGGAGTCCTTTGAAATGGGACGGAGGCTGGGCATGGTGGCTGATGGCAGTAATCGCAGTTCTTTGGGAGGCGGAGGTGGGCAGATCACTTGAGGGAAGGAGTTCAAGACCAGCCTGGCCAACATGGTGAAACCCTGTCTCTACTAAAAATACAAAAAGTAGCTGGGCATGGTGGTGCACTCCTGTAATCTCAGCTACTCGGGAGGCTGAGACAGGAGAATCGCTTGGACCCAGGAGGCAGACGTTGTAGTGAGCTGAGATCATGCCATTGCATTGCAGCCTGGGCAACAGAGCGAGACTGCGTCTCAAGGAACAACAACAACAACAAAAAAGAAATGGGACAGAAAGTTGTAAGGCCAGATGTGGGTGACTCACCGACTCGCAGCGATGTCGAGGTGTGTTTGTTTTGTGTATTCCAATGTGGCACGGCTCTGCTGGATGCAGCTTTCTGCATTCACAGTGTTTCTCGCAGATGATAGTACACATAAGCACATCCAAAATTTGCATTATGATCAAACTATTCCCTAACATATCAATTGCATTGGAACAAATTTGTGTTTTCAAAACAAGTATTATAGCAGAACTGTTCTATGTAATAAGAGACACTTAATGTGGGAAACAATATCAGATAATATGAAGTCGCAGCTGTCAGTGCCCCATGAGAAGTACGGCTTCTACATGCTCTGAGGATTCAGAAGTAGGGACTCCCATGGCCTACTGGGTCAGGGCAGGCTCTGCTGAGAAGTTGGCACTAGAGTTGGTGTTCTTTTTTTTTTTTTTTTTGAGACAGAGTCTCGCTCTGTTGCCCAGACTGGAGTGCAGTGGCGCGATCTCAGCTCACTGCAGTCTCCGCCTCCTGGGTTCAAGTAATTCTCCTGTCTCAGTCTCCCAAGTAGCTGGGATCATAGGCATGTGCCACCATGCCTTACTAATATTTGTATTTTTTTTTTTAGTAGAGATGGGGTTTCACCATGTTGTCAGGCTAGTCTTGAACTCCCGACCTCAAATGATTTGCCCACTTTGGCCTCCCAAAGTGCTGAGATTACAGGTGTGAGCCACTGCTCCTGGCCCTGGAGCTGGTCCTTTTTTTTTTTTTTTAATTAATTATTTTATTATTATGATTTTTCTGAGTCAGAGTCTCACTCTGTCACCCAGGCTGGTGCGTAGTGGTGCAATCTCTGCTCACTGCAACCTCCACCTCCCGGGTTCAGGCGATTCTCCTGCCTCAGCCTCCTGAGTAGCTAGGACTACAGGTGTGTGCCACCACACCTGGCTAATTTTTGTATTTTTAGTAGAGACACGGTTTTGCCATTTTGGCCAGGCTGGTCTCAAACTCCTGACCTCAAATGATCCGCCTGCCTCGGCCTCCCAAAGTGCTGGGATTATAGGCGTGAGCCACCGCGGCCGGCCGGAGCTGGTCTTTAAGGACCATCCTGGTGTTCTCTCAGAGCACACAGGAACTGGGGAGAGAGATGTATGCTACACCACTGTTCTTCCAACACATTTGTCCTTCCTGAGGTGTATGCCTATTAAAACAGGGTTACCCCCTTTATCCCAACAGTGCAGGGCTTGGAGGGCTCTTCTGGTTGTCTACACTGAGCTTAGCTTCCAACTCTAGGATGGATCACCCTTCCCTCTTCTTTACCAGGCCTGGAGAATGCACGAGAGGGGTCACCAAGCCCTCAGGAGCTCCATGTGCAGGTTCTAGAGCCAACAGTCAAGCTGTGCTGTTCTTGGGGAGGATGGCTCAGAACATTGGATCAGGGAAAAGGGACTCTCTCATTCTTCCCTAAGGTGTCCTTTTGGCTTTTGAAGACATCATGAGAAATGGAGGAAGTGTCTATATTTTTGCTCTCCTGATTGACTAACAGGGATGGAATGACTGAAGATGTGTCTATTCTAACCACTTGAGAATCCGCAGGAGGAAGAACCGCAGCTGTGTTGATCAGTGCAGTGTATTGACACATTGACTGTGGTGGAAGATAGAACCCATGAAGTTTAGCTCTTTGTGTGTGGTGAGGGTTGGGTACGTCTCCATACTCCCAGTATGCTTGACTGGCATTTTGTTGGCTGCCATTGTCGGTGTGGATGTACAGACCCTCTTGTGTGTGTAAATCCAGGAGTGCAGCCTAGATCTGGTGTCACTGCCCCAGCCTTGGAGCTCAAACCACCAGTTCAGTGAAAACTTGGCTCTTTGAGACAAGTGATAATGTTAACTAATTAGCATAATGCTATAGAGTCTAATACATGCTTCTACTTGCTTATTCCATTTCTTTTATTCCCAAGCTTGTTGCTGTGCTGGGAGCTGAGGTTTGTCCCTGCTCTGGAAAACTTCTCATCTAGTGGAGGGACAGACACAGCAATGTGTTGTTGCAGTGCAGGTTTGTTAGCACCATGACAGGCATTCATCTGTGTTTCTGTGGATTCCCAAGAGGAAGTACGTAATTCTACCCAGGATAAAGGGCTCTGGTGAGTGCTTCTAAGAAGTATTGACTATAGGCAATATATATTGATTATTTCTTCTTCATCAGGAGCTGCTGCATTGAACAGTCTGCAGGTACTATGGTGTTGAGTCCTTCCAGCAGGCATCAGCCCATATTGCAGAGGACAGTTTGAGTAGAGGAGCTAGGGCAACATCCCAGATTTTCTGACTTCAAGTGTGGTGCTCCTCTCAGGATACTCTGCTGCCATTTACCGGCAGGGGTGCCCCTCAGAGCCAGAACTATGAGCCAGACAGAACCATCTCCTCTACTGTTCCCATGGAAACAGCAAAATTGTCCCCTGGCTGGGGCCAACTGGCAAGTGCCAGACCAAGACATGCAATAATAACAATAACACACATTTTTCAAATGAAGATGCCAAATGGGTAAATAATGAATATACCAATTTGACCTGCTGTTTCCAAAACTTGCACACCCTTCCTAAGACAGTGGTGGAATTAAGGCTCTTGAGTAATTAATTTTGCCTAAACACATAACAAGGGGGAAGTGAATTTTGCACTGTGAACCCAGTTCAGCTCTTAAAACTGGAGATAGACTGCTTTTGCACACTGGCTCCCGATCACAACATCTGTGCATAATTAAGCCTCCGCAAAGACTTTACCTCTCAGTGTGTGAGGCATCTTCCGGTGCTTATGTGCGGTTTAAGAACCTCAGCCCTGTGCTATAAATCTCCCAGGCTCAGACAAGCACTGAATGCAAATATGGCGTCAGGGGGACTGGGAGAGGGTGAGGGGGCAGCTAGGCTGAATGATTAAGGCCAGGCTTAGTGGATCTGGCAGCAGAGCGTATGTGCCAGGGGATGGAAACAGGACAAGTGGTAGGGTTTGTGACTCACCTGGGGACAAGGTGGCAGGGGAGAAGCTTTATAACCACAGGGTTTGGGACTGGAAGTGATGAGACCATTTCTGTATGTGTGGAGGTGGGGATAGGTGTGCAGGGCCATGCCAGGGTTCCTTAGTGTGAGGTAAGGAGCCCAGGACTCTAGAAATTGTGGACAAACCCTGAGGAGATGTGCATGCTTTTTGGGAAGTATGATAACTTCCCATGAATCTCAAAGATTAGGAACTACAGATGGATAGTAATTAATATATAACTTCTTTTTTGCAGAGTGATTTATATTCTTTAATTCTTTAATTCTTACAACAGCCTCACAAGGGAGGTGCCATAATCACCCCCATATCATCAGTTGGGAGACTGAGGCTCAGAGCTATCAACCCTTTGGGCAGGGTCACAAGGCTTACCACTAAGGGGAGGGAATAGAGGTAGCCTGCTCCAGAGCCTGCATGTTCACCCTCCATATGGTTTTGCTCTGTGGGGAAGTTGTGAATTCCAGTGAACCGTCTAGAGCATAACTCTCAGCCCTGGTGTGTATCAGAGCCCTCTGTGAAACTCGATGTGGCTGTCCTAAGAGCAATCGATGTTTTTTCCAGCAGCTGCTAGTGTCTGGTTCCATGTTGAGTGCCAGTACTCTGCTCATAGTAGTGGGAAATGGGGGCGGAGGTGGGGTTGTGCTTCCACTGTAACCATTATCACCATATTTTTGGTGGAGAAACTGGTGTTCAGAGAGGTTATATAACTTACCCACAGTCACACAGCTTTTAGGTGGCAGAGCCGGGGCTCCAGCCAGCAGCCTGACTCCAAATCTGCCGGTCTGACTGCATGTCTCCAGGCCTTCTGCTGTGCTGGACTCAGGCTCCAGGAGGACTGTGGGCCTAGGGTGATGGGCACTGTCTCAGACAAGCCAGGCGCAGCCTGTTTCGTGGGCATGTTGACCAAAGCATAGAAACAAAGCAGAAATGTGAGGTCAGGGCCAGACTGTGAGGCTGAGGCCCAGGGTCTTGGGCTAAAACTTCTCTAATTGGTGCCCTCCTTCTTGGGGTCCAGATTGGCATCCGTGTGGGAGGCAGGAGGAGCCCACAGGAGGGAGGCCTCTGCTCTGTGGCAAAGAGGTAGAACCTGGACCCAGGGGTCCTAATGGTCAGGGTGTGACCCTGCTGGTGGGGCCGCTGAGCACCCTGGCCATGAGCTCCTTAGAGTTTCAGCTTGCTTTGTTTGGGGGTGGGATGGGGGAGTGCGGGGTGCTTATTGACTCTTTCAAATTTCTCTTTTTCATTTTTTCCTTCTTTGATGGAAGAAGCATAGGACAGGAAATGTGGGCGCTCACTTCACCCCACACCCCCAGGTCCTCCTGCCCATCTGGTGATTTAGGCGCAGCTCACTTTTTTAACTGAGCAGGAGCAGTTTGGCATTTTGCAGTCATTTCCATGTTATGTCTGTCCAGGGGCACCTGTGGTTCTGAAGCTCCCATGACAAATTCCACTGTTTCCCAGGTTTGATATTTTAGTCATTTCAGATTTAAGCAGCAGAAGCAAGGGGCACATTCTGTGGTTAGACTGGAATGGTGATGTTTGCAGGGAGACCAAAAAGGGGGAAACCGCAGTACACCCAGGACCCTGATGCACAAGCACAGAGAAGCTCCAGCCTGTGGGATTTCTGTTTCCACCTGTGACTCTTTCCTAGCTGGTTTTTTTTTTTTTTTTTTTTGAGATGGAATCTCACTCCCTCTGTCACCGTGGCTGGAGTACAGTGGCGTATTCTTCACCCACTGCAACCTCCGTCTCCCAGGTTCTAGCGATTCTCTTTCCTCAGCCTCAGTGATCTGCCCTCCTTGGCCTCTCAAAGTGCTGGGATTACAGGCGTGAGCCACTGCGCCCAGCCCCTCGCTGTTTTTTAAGCTGCCTCTGGTGGGGCTGGCTAGAGATTTGACCTCTTGTCTCCAGAGCCTTAGGGGCCCACTGTCAAAGGTAGGTTTACAAACAAACCCAAGGGAAGAATTTAACCCGAAAATATGTCCCATTCATTTGGAAGCCATGAACAAAAACAACAGGCAGGGCACGGTGGCTCACGCCTGTAATCCCAGCACTTTGAGAGGCTGAGGCAGGAGGATCTCTTGAGTCCAGGAGTTCGAGGCTGCAGTGCGCTATGATGATGCCACAGCATTCCAGCCTGGGTGACAGAATGAGACCCTGTCTCTAAAGAAACCGACAAAGCAACAATAGCAAACATGCACTCACTTTTTTAAAAAGAAACTTTTTGAAAAATGCCAAGCAAGTCTAAATTTTAAGTTCAAAGTATCAGTTTCACAGATTTCTCTATTGGCCCAGATTTTCAAATGGCAGAAACCGCAGTCAAGCAGCAAACCAAAATAACACCTTGCTTTCTGGTGGAAACTTTGTTCCAACTAGAGCATTTCACTTGTATGTACAGCCCCCATTTATCCTCAGAGGTCCTTACTGAGATAGGGCAGAAACAATTCTGCTTTCCAGTGAGGAAGACTGGGATGTAAAGAAGTTAAGTGGCTAGTCTAAGACACAACAGTATTAGCAGAATTAGGAACAGGAAATAGGTCTGTTGACTTGAGGGCCACTATGTTATTGCTAGATGAATTTGGGTGGTCAGGGTAAAGGAAAATCTTACTCTCCAAAACATTTGAAAAAGCTGCCCATGTTTCTTTATTTGTAAGAGGAAATAAACTCCTCACAATTTGGGGGAAACTCGGCATGCTGGAAGCCCAGTAACCCCTCCCTCCTGGCTGTGGGGGTACTGGTGGGTGTCCCTTGCTCACATGGCAGCCTGGTTGCATTCTAGTCTCTTGCCCGCTCCTGGAGAAATCTGTTCTCTTTTTGGTTTTTGAGTGTTATGAGAGTCAGAGAGGGTTGGAGAGTGTATGTTAGTAATGCATTTGTCTGTAGGCAACTGAAAGCCTCATTTAGAGTGCCTTAAACAAAAGAATTTGTTGTCTTCACATAGCAAGAAGGTTTGCAGTGGTTGCCTACTGACATATGGTTTTGGTGGTTTAACAGTACCAGAGCTGGCTTCTCAGATTTTTAAATTTTTTTATTTTTCCTCATTGTTGCAAGATGGCTGCTACAGCACCAACAGTCACATTCACATTCACTTTCGAGGCAAGAAGAGAAGTGGAAGAAGAGTAGCACTATGCAAATACCCCCTTTTTTTTAAATCAAGGAAATAAAAACCTTCCCAGAATCCCCTAGCAGGTTTCCATTTTTGTTCATAAGTCAGAACTATGTCACATGGCCATACCTACTATAAAGCAGGCAAGGAAAGTATTTAGGTTTTTTATTTGTTTGTTTGTTTTCAGACAGGATCTTGCTCTGTTGCCCAGGCTGGAGTGCAGTGGTGTGATGTATAAGGTCACAGCACACTGGCTTTGACAGCGATCCTCCCACCTTAGCCTCCCAAGCTGGGATCACAGGCACGCACCACTATGCCTGGCTAATTTTTGTATTTACTGTAGAGACAGGGTTTCGCCACGTTGCCCAGGCTGGTCTTGAACTTCTGAGCTCAAGCAATCCACCTGCCCCAGCCTCCCAAAGTGCTGGGATTATAGGTGTGAGCCACTCCGCCTGGCCCCAGTATTTAGTTTTTTTCATCTCTAGGGAAGAGGAGGGTTGGGAATAGATGTTGGGTTAATATCCAATGTTGTCTGCCCCAGGAAACGTGTTTTCCTACAGGAAACAGGCATGAGAAACAAAATTTATCATCTGGTTAAAACTCAGTCATTTGCTCAATACACACAATGCACCCATTACCTGGGTGAAATATTGGAGGCAGAGGGAGGAGTCCGAAGTAGGCCTGGTGGCGGGATGGGGAGAGGAAATATCCTTAACAGCAATGCCCAGGTGTGAGGTGTTCCAACATTTTCCTCCCAAGTCCCAACTTTAGTTTTGGCTCTTAACAGCATTAGAAGGCACTGAGGAGAGTTGGCAAAGCCGGTATCTAAAGGAGTGGGCGGAGGCCTGCTGAGCAGAGGTGGAGTAGCCAGCCTCCCTCTTGGCCTGGCTGTCCCATCCCCACTGTCACCGCTGAGGTCCCTCCTGGGCCTCTTCTCCCTTGCTCTGGGAGGAGCCTCTGTTGCTGTCTGGCTCGCTGTGCCACATTGTCATCCTTGCCCGATTCCCAGCTTCCCCAGACCATCTGACCTGTCCCTTCCTATCCCAGGTCCCCCGAATCCACTGGGACCTGTCCACGGAGCGGGTCCTCCTGATGGAGTTTGTGGATGGCGGGCAGGTCAATGACAGAGACTACATGGAGAGGAACAAGATCGACGTCAATGAGGTGAGGTCAAGAGCTCAGGGCTGCTGTGCCGGGGAACGTGGGCTTGGTCAAGGCTGCCCAGGAAGTGCCTGTGTGTCCAGGTGAGGCCTCAGAGTCTGGCCCCCTTGTCTTTAATAGGGCCCATTGTCTGGAGAATTATAAACTTTGAGCAAGAAAGATTCTTTCAGGTCATTTAGGCCAGCCCTGTGCACACAGCGGCCTGCAGGGACATGCTGAACCCCTTCTGCCATTACCTGCTTTTCCTTTGTACCATCTGAGCCCCACAAAGCTAAGCGGCCACAGAGAACAATGATGCAAAATCAGTGGGACTTAATCCTTTTGGCTCTGTGGGGCCTGTCTGTTGTCTCTTCCCTCTTCCTGCCCTTCTCTCTCCTTCCCACTTCCCAGATCTCAAGGGATCAGGCAAAAAGGGGACAGCAGCAACCAACTGCATCAGCCTCCTAGAGCAGGAAAAAAGAGGTGGGCTTTGTGTGTCCCCCCTCCCATCCCCCTTGTCCCAGGGAATACTGGCCAGTGGGTAGGACCTGTCCCTCACTTTCTGCTTCTTGGTTGCACAGGGTCCCACAGGAATGGGTGGAGTTGTACTTTTTCAACAACATTCATAATTTCATTTTTATGTTTTTAGAGATGGGGTCTTGCTCTGTTGCCTAGACTGGCGTGCAGTGGCACAATCATAGTTCACTGTAATCTGGAACTCCTGGGCTCAAGCAGTCCTCCCACTTTGGCCTCTCAAAGTGCTGGCATTACAGGTGTGAGCCACGTGGCCAGGCTCAACATTGATCATTTTAATAGTGTCTGCTATATGCTAGGTATGGGGGCTCGCAGGGGGACCAGACCTAGTCCCCAGAGCTTAGCATCAGAGTCAGACACACATCTAAATCCTTGCTGTATCTCAGGCAGCGAGAGGGTGTGAGGAGAACCCCAGGGAGAGTGAGGAAGAGGCACTGAGGCCTGCCACAGGTTGGTGTCCCCAGCAGGATGAGTAGGAGTTTTCCAGGGAGTGGCTTTGCAAGAAGGGGAAGGGAATGGGTGAAGTTTGGCAGGGCTGGGGCAGGATTCCTTGGGGTGTGTGGGGAGATAAAGTAATGGTCTTGGGTGTGACCTTGAGGCACTGTGGAGTCACTTCAGGGTTTTGGGGAGTGCAGCAACATGTTCTGCCCTCTGGGATGGAAGGAAGGAAGTGGGCCACGCCCAGTGGAGGTAAATGCTTTTTTTTTTTTTTTTTTTTTCCCTGAGACGGAGTTTTGCTCTTGTTGCCTAGGCTGGAGTGCAATGGCGCAATCTTGGCTCACTGCAACCTCCGCCTCCTGGGTTCAAGTGATTCTCCTGCCTCAGCCTCCCAAGTAGCTGGGATTACAGGCATGCGCTACCATGCCTGGCTAATTTTGTATTTTTAGTAGAGACAGGGTTTCTCCATATTGGTCAGGCTGGTCTTGAACTCCTGACCTCGGGTGATCCGCCTGCCTCGATCTCCCAAAGTGCTGGGATTACAGGCGTGAGCCACCGCGCCTGGCTGTGAATGCTCTTTTCTATTCCACTCCCCATGTCCACAGGCAGTGCATGAAGATGAGCGTGAGCATGTGGTCCCAATGGGGAGTTGGCCCACAGGAGAAAGCCATACCTTGGCTCAGCAGATGAGCCCAGGGGGGTGGCAGGGGAGTGTGGTGGTTGCACAGGCCTCCTGGTGGCCATGTGACTGCTGTAAATGGGGTCAGTATCTGCCTCTAAGAGGGGCTGTGAAGACTATGTGAGTTAGGGTGCAAACAGTGCTAAGCACAGTGCCTGGTGTGTGGCTAGCATTCCAGAAGAGTAGCTGGGTGGTGGTTGTTGATTTCCTTATATTATCTTTGGGCTCTGTTCTTTCTTTCTCCTTTTACCATTAGCATTTATTGCATGCCTAACTTCCCTGTGCCAGGCCCTTTTCTCCATAATAAACTTATGAGGGTGGTCTCATTGTCTCCATTTTGCAGACAAAGAATCAGAGTCTCAGAGAGAGAAGGTCACACAGCTTAGCAGAGGTGGGATTGAGACCTGAGTCTCCCTGATTTCACTCTTCCTGTTAGGCCACAAAGGAGGGGCCGCATCAAAGTGCACAGAGCTGCTGCCAGGAGCATGGTGGGAACGTTTCTCTGTGGCTGGCTCAGGCCTTCTAGGAAAGCTGTTGTCCCCTGACTTAGGGAACAGTGCTTCAATAACCCATTCAAGGGCCTTGGGGTGTGTGGGATATGGGCAGGCTACACTGAAACAGATACCACTCTGTTTTACCCAGGGCAGCTTTGCCAATGCGTGAGCTGCCTATTGGACTTTTCTGGAAGAGTTCTGCTGCTTGGAGGGAAAGGGATGAGAAAAAGAGTTCATCCTTCTATTTTACAGATGGGGTGAAAAGTTCTGAGAGGGAGCAAATGTCTTTCCTGAGGTCACTTGGCCAGTAACACAAGTCAGGGCTTCTGACTCTGCTGCCTTCACTGGTGGCTTCTAGGGTGGTACATGGGAGGTGTTCAAGCAGAATACAGTCTTTGGTTCCAGTGGCGAAGGGATTCGATGGGATGGGAGGCCACCTCTGGCCTTTCCTGAACGGCCTTAAAGGGAAACAGGGTCTGTCGCCTGCTGATCAGGAAATATCCCAGAGGCCTCATCCCCGCCAGGTTCCTGGCATTTACTTACTACCAGCTGTGGAGGCATTTTCATTCCAGCAACACCCTCAAGTCCATTAATCTCTTTGGATCCAGTGAGCCCAGAGCCGTAATGGTGTTTAATCAGAGGCAACGTTGATTTTCCAAACAAATGCAAACACAGAAAGGTGCGCTCTGGGTAGTTGTTTGCTTATGGCTGAGTGCTGTGCCTGGCCGGAGGGGGCAGCTAGGCTGGAGCTGGGCAGTAGGAGCTGGGCAGGGCGTACCCTCTGAGGACTGGTCTCATCTGCTTCTGCCTCCCCGCTCTTTTGATACCTTGTAGATAAAGCCAGTGGTCTGTGCAGAGCAGATCCTTGGTAGACATTCTTAAATTAGTGAATGGGTAAACAAACCAGCCTCACACCCTAGATTGGCCTCTACCAGGCAGGCCTAGGGGAGAGTGTTGGTTGTTTTCTTGTGGACATGCAGAATGGGGCAAGCTGATATCAGAGTTATTTGGGGAAAAACAATAACTAATAATAATTATAAGCAACTAATATGTGCCAGGCATATGACACACATAATCTCTACTCATTACAGCTCTCCTATACAGTATATATTATTAACCCTATTTACAGATGAGAAAGCAAATGCTCAGAGAGGTTAAACAACTTGCCCCGTATCACACAGCTAGCAGGGGTAGAACCAGGGTTTGAACTCAGGTCTGCATGACTCCAAAGTCCTTGCCCCTCTACCTTCTCCATTTCCCTGCCAGGGATCTATAGGTTGGTGCAAAGGTAAATGTGTGTTTTGTTTTTTATTTTGGGCCATTGCAAAAACCACAATTCTTTTTGCACCAACCCAATACCTTGGGCTGCTGGAACCTGGAGCCACTTGGTAACTAACTACTCAGAGGAGCTGGAGCACCATCTGAGAAGCATTGCTCTGCACCAAGGCAGTGTCTGAATGTAACACCTCTCTCTCTGGCTTACATCAAGGATCACTTCATAGAAACATTTTTCTGTTTTATCGTACCCATCTCTAAGTAAGTGATTTTGTGAGGACTGTGTGAGTTAATGCACAAACAATGCTTTGCACAGTGCCTGGCGTGTGCTAAGTAAGTTCCCCAAAATGATAGTGAGATGAATGTTGTTGTTGTTGTCATTGGGCTATTTTTTTCTCTTCTACCTCCCCAGCTTTCTTTTTTTTTTTTTTTAAACCATTAATGTTTACTGACTGCCTGGCTCTGTGTACCAGGAGCTTTCTGCATTATCAACTTATGAGGGAGGTCTTATTGTCTCAGATTTGCAGATGAAGAATCAGAGACTCAGAGAGGGAAGATAACTTACCTGAGGTCACAAATTTTAATTGTATACCTCAGTAAGTTTCCATGTGAATATAATATGTAATCACTGTCCAGATAAAGTTGCAAGTCATTTCTAGCTCCCTGGCGAGCTCTCTCACGTCCCTCCCGGAGCTAATGCTCTTTTGAGTTCTGCCACCATAGATGACCTGCACCCATTATTGAACTTCACATAAATGGAATCATACAGTTTTGGGATCTGACGTCTTTGTCATCAATGTGGGGCTCTTCTGGAATCTATTTTGTTTCATTGGTCTATCCTTGTAATGCCACACTATGTTAATTTCTTAATCCCCAGTCCCTGGCTTTTAGGCTTTGCATGACTTGGTAGCTCTTTGGCAGTCTGAGATGATGTTATTAAATACTTCCGCAGAAACCCCCACAGTGGGCTATGGGCCACTATGGTGCTCTAAGTACTGTCACTTACCATCAGTAGTGTTGGGAGTAGATTAGGGACAGGCCTTACTCTGAATAAATTAATCTATCATGTCTCTTACCAACTAACATCAAAGCCACGGCCTTGAAGACTACGGAGGAGCGTGTGTGTGTGTGTGTGTGTGTGTGTGTGTGTGTGTGTGTGTGTAATGAAAGAGTCCACAATCCTGAAAGTTTCAGATAGACTCCTGAGGTTCTAAAGTCTCCTTAGGACTGTGGTACTCAGCGAGCCAGCCCTGGAGTGACTCCCTCCTGAGGGCAGCCTGGCTGTGAGCATTCCTTGGGGAGGGAGGTACAAGGGCTAGATAGGAGTGACAGGGGCGAAAGTCTTACTCTGAATCCTAGGGTGTAGTGTGATTAGTGGCATCTTAGCTGCTATAAGCAGATGTCTATCCTGGAAGATGGCTGTAGAAGGGACCCCTCTTGAGGTGGGTGGGGATGGCTCCAGAGCCCCCAACCACTTGTTGTATCAGCCTCACTCCGCTTTGAAGAGGCCTCCTCACCCTACAGCATCCCAGTCCCACTCGGCCCAATAGACTTGGATAGGGAAACAACAGTTTAGCAGGCAAGAGGGATAGGTTCAATCTCTGTCCTGCTGGTAGCTTGCTGTATAACCTTAGGCAAATCACATCCTCTCTCTGGTCCTCAGTATGCTTATTGAAGGTGTGGAACTAGCTAGGCTCTAACCAAGAACATTGATTCTTCAGCTTGGTGGGAGCTAAGACTTGTTCACCAACCATCTCTTTTAGAATCACTATAGGGGAAAAAAAGGAATCACCAGGGGAGCTTATTTAACAATGCAGATTCCTGGGCCCTACTCCAAACTCACTAATCCAAATCCGGGGTGGAAAGGATTGTAGAAGTTTGCAAGAATCTGCATTTCAACAGACTGTCCAGGCGGTTCAGACACTCACTGAAGTTCAGGACTCCCCATACTGAAACATGAAGCCAGGGGCTCAGGCCTTGCCAGAAGTGCCATCTGCGCTCACCCTGCTGATCTGCACCTCCAGGCCCGAGACAGCCCTGCCCAGGGGTGCCCACCTGCCAGCAAGCACGGGCCTCGGGAGCCAGCAGCCTGCAGGGGCCCTCATTTGTTTGTGTCTGTGAGCCCAGAAGCAGATATTACCAAGGGCCTGACCTGGTGATCATATTTGCCAGTCACTTTAAGAGCTGGCGACAATGACTGTCATTGATCTCATTAAAAGTAAAGGTCGTGCAGGAGTCCTCTTTCCCGGGCTGGGTGGCGCCTCCCCAAGCCACAGAACAACTATTGATTGCTGGACCTTTATCGAAGGTTAATTGGATTTCAGTGAGTCTGTGTTTAAGATCCTGCCGAGGCTGAGGTTCAATGTAATTTGTGTGAAATTAGCCAAGAAAGAGGTGACAGAGACAGGAGTGTAGGGGCAGCAGGGACAGATGACTGGAGGTCTGGTGGGCAGACACTGCTGTCCGTGAAGATTGGGGGTAGTCCTGGGATGGGGTTTTAGAAGGGACACCAGCCTGGCTGTCCCAGAGACGTGGGATCCAGGAGGCGAGAGTGCCAGAGCTCCTCAGTGGTCATTATGTGGACTTAGGTTCAGTCCCCTGTCCTTGGGGTGGTGCTGCTGGTGTGTGGTGCAGCCTGCAGAGCCTGTCTGTTCCCAGAGCATCAGTCTCCATCTTCTGTCAGGGTCGGGTGGGGATCTAGGGGTTTAGCTGGTACTTTTAAAGTCTTTCAGTTAATCTTTCTTTTTCAGAACCCCCAAATCTCATTTTCAGAGGTGCTGGAGTCCCTCAGTTTCTGAGCCTGCTTGAGGCTCAGCAGTAATAATTATAAAGCTCTCCTGTTGCCAGCTTAGGGGTCCATGTTTTCTAGCCTGCTGAGTCACTTCTCAGTAGCTCCCTGCAGCAAACACAATTTTGCTTATCTCACTTTGCCTTCTGTTGTTGCCTCTCTATTCTTTTCTTGTTGTGGTGGGGTCTTTGCCTTCTTTACTACTTTTAGAGTCACTTTAGTGGGGTTCGTGAAGGAGTAGAGTCCGTGGCCTGGGTTCCACCTGCCATGCTTAGCCAGAAGCCCTTGCTATGCTTCTTCTAGTAGTTCTTAATTCCATTCTGTGTCATTGCAGGAGCAGCGAAAAGGTCTCACATTTGCTTTCAGCAAATGATTTCTCGAGCAGCTACCATGTGCAAGCACTGAGTGCACTTGCTACAATAGAGGTGTGAGCAGAGTGTGGGAGAGGGTGGGGCTGGGTGAGGCTTTATAGAGGTTGGGTCCTGGGTGGGAAGAGCAGAGGGTTTCAAAGTTAGGGCCCCTGAGATTGTGTATTGGCTGGTGCCCTTGGGTAAGCAACATCCTCTGAGTGTGAGTTTTCTCATCTATGCAGTTGGAGAGATAACATCACTTACTGCATAGGGTCATTGTGTGAATTTTGCAAACTGTGAAGTTTTGTAAAAACAATGTTACTGTTACTTATAATTCATGCGTTCATGGTTCACAGAGGCATGTCTTCCTCCATAGAATCTTCGAGAATCCTCTTTGCTCCCCTTCCTGCCCACTTACCTCTATTTTCTGAGTATAAAGACTTGGAGTTGGGTAATAGTCATCTATTAAGCATATGGTACCCCCTTACCCCCACTGTAAAAGCCATGCTGAAGTTTCTACCTTTCCCCTTGTCACCACCTCCAGTTGAATAGGACATTTGCATTTTGGCTCAGTGTCATTTTTCCCCTGCTGGGCCTGTCTGGCTGTCTGGTAGAAGATGCCCAGACCAACATAGAGCAGCTGCGGAGGCATGAAGACCTTCTACCAAAATCACCAGAAGAAAACATCTTCTTCCATTGTCCATCCCTTCATTGCTTCTTGGACCAAATCTTTTTTTTTTTTTTAATACTTTAAGTTTTAGGGTACATGTGCACAACGTGCAGGTTAGTTACATATGTATACATGTGCCATGTTGGTGTGCTGCACCCATTGACTCGTTATTTAACATTAGGTATATCTCCTAATGCTATCCCTCCCCCCTCCCCCCTACCCCCAGCCTACAACAGGCCCCAGAGTGTGATGTTCCCCTTCCTGTGTTCATGTGTTCTCATTGTTCAATTCCCAACTATGAGTGATAAATTATGCTGCTATAAAGACACATGCACACGTATGTTTATTGTGGCACTATTCACAATAGCAAAGACTTGGAACCAAGCCAAATGTCCAACAATGATAGACTGGATTAAGAAAATGTGGCACATATACACCATGGAATACTATGCAGCCATAAAAAATGATGAGTTCACGTCCTTTGTAGGGACATGGATGAAACTGGAAACCAACATTCTCAGCAAACTATCACAAGGACAAAAGGACCAAATCTTTAAAAGAGCTCAGGGATGTTAGAGGGGTCCAGGTGTATGAGATGAGTTCCTGGAAATTTATTTCCTCCACAGCAAAGGTGTCAGGAGTGAGTAACTGTGTTGTTGTGGAGTTGGCCTTCCTGGATTCAGGTGTTGGCTCTGCTGCTTATAAGCTGTGCCACCTTGGTGAAGCTACTCACCCTTTTGAAGCCCCAGTTACCTTTTGTAAAGTGGGATACAAGAGAGTAACCCACTGGATCGTTTGATGACTGAAACAGAACGCTTGGTACGGTGCCAGGCCCAGCATATGTCCTCATCACATGTTGAATTATGCTGAATTCCACCCCTTGGAATTTTGTGGTGTCATGTGGTGCTCGTAGTACATTATGTGCCAAAAGATGGGGGGAAACATGTAGGGAAGAAACCCTTTCCCCATTTTTCATATTGACCCAGGTAAGGTGGAAAGATAGGAAAGTATTTCTTTGGACTGAGTTGTTGTCCAAGGCCAGAGATGCCAGATGTCTCTGCTTTTCCTCCCTTTCTCTGTGTCTTCCCATAGCCAAGGTCCCTAGGACCCCTCCCACCTGCTCTGGTATCTGGGTAACTTTAATGAATGTCTCTGGCCAGAGACTTGAGGAGGCTCTCTGGCCAGAGAGACTCATTAAATACCCCATGCCATGCCTCTCTGTGATGTTCCTTTTCAATCCTAACCTAGAGAAGCTTTCACTAGGTACCTAGAAGCTCCAAAATTAGAGTAACTTCCCAGTTTCCTGTGATTTTACTCAGCATCTCTTCTTTCTATTTATTTATTTATTTTAATATAGGTTTTCACTCTCACCCAGGCTGTGGTGCAGTGGCACGATCTCAGCTCACCACAGCCTGGATCTCCCCAGGCTCAGGTGATCTTCCCACCCCAGCCTCTGGAGTAGCTGGGACTACAGGGGCACGCCACCGTGCCTAGATAATTTTTGTATTTCTTATAGAGGTTTCACCATGTTGCCCAGGCTGGTCTCAAACTCCTGGGCTCAAGCCATCTGACTGCCTCGGCCTCACAAAGCCCCTCTTCTTTCTTCCTCACTATCTCTCCCGACACCATGTGTGGTCGAAGAGGTTCCCAGCACCTTTGCGCTTACAGACTCCACCTCAGCATTTGTTAGTCCAAGATTGCTCCACCCATGGACAAGTTTGGACTCCATGCTGGGCAGCTGTTTTTAATCGAGGCTTACAAATCCCAAAGGTGGTTCCTGGGGACAGGGGTGGAGATTATGGTAAAATGCTCTAGGGCCAGCACTAGTGGCTCATACCTGTAATCCCAGTGCTTTGGACAGGGCTGAAGTGGGAGGATCACTTGAGGCCAGGAGTTTGAGACCATCCCATCCTGGGCAACATAGTGAGACCCTGTCTCTACAAAAAAATAAATTAGCTGGGCATGGTGGCACATGCATGTAATCCCAGTTTTTCTGGAGGATGAGGTGGGAGGATCATTTGAACCCAGGTGTTCGAGGCTGCAGTGAGCCATGATGGTGCCACTGCACTTGAGCCTGGGCTACAGAGTGAGACCCCGTATTTTTTTTTTCAAAAAGCTCTAGGTCTGGTCTAGTCTTTCAAGCTGTTATGCCTCAAAAAGCCTGGGCAGAAACTGGAGGAAAGGCAGAGAGAGTTTGAATGATTAACCTCCTTATAGTTAATATCAGGCTACTCATGTGATTATCAATATCCTGTAACACCAACCCCGTTTCCTTCAGAGATCTTGGCCTTTCTTTTAAGACACCCCCCAGGAACATGAATAGATTTTCTCTTGAGGGTGGGAATAAATTAATCCATGTAATTATAGAATAATTAAAGTACTTTTAGCCAATTCAAGTTTTGAGAAAAGTCCAAAAATAACTCATTGATTTAAATATTATTTACTAAATTAATTCTCTACTCAGTCTTTTTATAGATTCCTGGTTTTTTTCCCCTCCCTACTGTTAGAGAATAAAGGCATTGCATAATAACTGAAATCACTTATCGTGAAAGGCACATTTTTTTTATGTGGAACAATTAAAAGATTTCTCATTGACTTTTTTTTCCTAAATGGCACTGTACTGTAGCTTTAGTTAACAGTGTGGTTTTGGTTAGCTGACAGTCCTGGATTTCCCACTGAGACTCTTTTTTTCAAAATGGAACATTTTGCCGGCTTCTGGGGTTGGAGTGGGGTGGTGTTCAGATGTCTTTGGTGCAGTCTCTGTCTCCAGGAGGAGCTTCCCTGTGAGTGGAGAGGCAGTATAACGGAGCGATTGAGGCCTGTTCTCTGGAGCCAGTGCTCCTAGGTTTAGACTAACTGCCGACCAAGTGACCGAACTTTCTATTTTGTGTCCTGATTCCTTCACCTGTTTAATGCAGAGGATGGCAGTGAGTGCTGAATCTGTTAGTGTAAAGTGCCTGGCATGGTGCCTGGTATAGTGTGTTAGCCATCATTATTTGTCATGCTGGACCCCTGTCAACTTCAGTAGGGATGGCACCAGGTTCAAGAGGCCAAAGAAGAGACGGTGAGTGAAACATAGATTTAAACAAATGGTTTATATGGGGGAACTTACAAGACAGTTCAGTGGCAGCAGGCTGGACAGGAAAACCACCACCACTTGTAAAAAGCATGCAGTTCATATCGTATTTTCACTTAGTACCCTGTCCTCAGCAACCTTCACCTAGCAACCCATATTTCTGAAGTTAAGTCAGGTGTGTCTGCCTTAATCGTCTGCTTAAGTTATTACTGTCAGATGTGTCTATCATGCCCCATTCTAAAAAGATGGTGCATCCTGTCATTATGCAGATGCCACCGTTCACAGGGCATGGGGCAGTGTTAGGGACACAATGATCTGTTCTTAAGCAAGACACATAATGTATTATAGAAGGGAGAGAGGGTCGTGTGCCCAGTAATGGCCTTAGGTTGCTCCTCAATGCCTCTGAGTAGGAGGGGGCTGGCTTCCCTCTTCTGGGAAATTCAGTTCCTAGAAAGACTAACACAATTCTAAGAGCTGTTATCCAACACTTAGAAATAAGGCCAGGAGAGTGTGGTGTGACATTCTTGGGCATTGTTCAACCAGCTCCCTAGAGGATTTATTTTAATATCTAGGGAAATGTACTTTTGTTTGACTTTGCTATTGACAATTAATTAAAGGCACAGAGTGGTCATACATCAACTTGAAGATCTTATCCAGTAGAGATGCAAATAATTTCTGTCTAGTATAAAAGATAACCTCAAAGGTTGTGACTTCTTTTTATGCCTCATAGAACAGTAACCTGTTTTTCAGCTAATCCAGAAACCTTAGTCTCTTATTCCTGTTTAAACGCCCATAAACACCTGCTTCCTCAAAATTCTCTTTGAACCAGCTCTACCATCTTACTTGCCCCCTTATTTATTTATTTATTTTTGAGATGGAGTTTCACTCTTGTTGCCCAGGCTGGAGTGCAATGGTGTGATCTTGGCTCACTGCAACCTCCATCTCCTCGGTTCAAGCAATTCTCCTCTGCCTCCCAAAGTGCTGGGATTACAGGCGTGAGCCACCACGCCAGGCCCCAATGTGTAGTCTTTTATCCCTCACCCTTCTCCCCAAGTCCCCATAGTTCATTGTATCATTCTTATGCCTTTGCCTTTGTGTCCTCATAGATTAGCTACCACTTATAAGTGGAAACATACGATACTTGTTTTTCCAGTCCTGAGTTACTTCACTTAGAATAATGGTCTCCAATTCCATCTACGTTGCTGCAAATGTCATTATTTCATTCCTTTTTATGGCTGAGTGGTACTCCATGGTCTATGTATACCACATTTTCTTTATCTACCTGTTGGTTGATGGGCATTTAGGCTGGTTCCATATTTTTGCAATTGTGAATTGTGTTGCTATAAACATGCATGTGTGTCTTTTTCATATAATGACTTCTTTTCCTCTGGATAGACACCCAGTAGTGGATTGCTGGATCAAATGGTAGTTCTACCTTTAGTTCTTTAAGGAATCTCCACACTGTTTCCCATAGTTGTTGTACTAGTTTACATTCCCACCAGCAGTGTAAAAGTGTTCCCTTTTCACCACATCCATGCCAATATCTATTATTTTTGATTTTTTGATTATGGCCATTCTTTCAGGAGTAAGGTGGTATTGCATTGTGGTTTTGATTTGCATTTCCCTGATCATTAGTGACGTTGAGCATTTTTTCATATGTTTGTTGGCCATTTGTATATCTTCTTTTGAGAATTGTCTATTCATGTCCTTAGCCCACTTTTTGATGGGATTGTTTGTTCTTTTCTTGCTGATTTGTTTGAGTTCCTTGTAGATTCTGGATATTAGTCTTTTGTTCGATGCATAGCTGTGAATATTTTCTCCTACTCTATGGATTCCTTCCACTCTGTGGATTGTCTGTTTACCCTGCTGATTATTTCTTTTGCTGTGCAGAAGCTTTTTAGTTTAATTAAGTCCTGTCTACTTATCTTTGTTTTTGTTGCATTTGCTTTTGGGTTCTTGGTAATGAAATCTTTGCTTAAGCCAATGTCTAGAAGAGTTTTTCTGATGTTATCTTCTAGATTTTTTATGGTTTCAGGTCTTAGATTTAAGTCTTTGATCCATTTTCAGTTGATTTTTTATAAAGTGAGAGGTGAGGATCCAGTTTCATTCTTCTACATGTGGCTAGCCAATTATCCCAGCACCATTTGTTGAAGAGGGTGTCGTTTTCCACTTTGTTTTTGTTTGCTTTGTTGAAGATCAGTTGGCTGTAAGAATTTGGCTTTATTTCTTGGTTCTCTATTCTGTTCCATCGGTCTACGTGCTTATTTTTATACCAGTACCATGCTGTTTTGGTAACTATAGCTCTGTAGTATAGTTAGAAGTTGGGTAATGTGATGCCTCCAGATTTATTCTTTTTGCTTAGTCTTACTTTGGCTATGTGGACTTGCCCCCTTATTAACGAGTTAAAAAAACTTTGACACATGTTCATTCTGTATTTATTTAGTTTTACTTTTAATTTATGTATTTAGAGAGAAGGTCTCGCTGTATCACCCAGGCTGGAGTACAGTGGTGCCATCATAGCTCACTGCAGCCTGAAACTCCTGGGCTCAAGTGATCCTTCTGCCTTAGCCACCCAAAGTAGATAGAACCATATGCATGCTCCACCACACCTGGCTGAATTTTTAATTTTCTGTAGAGATGGGGTCTTGGTATGTTGCCCAGGCTGGTCTGAAACGCCTGTCCTCAAGCAATTATCCCTCCTGAGCCTCCCAAAGTGCTGGGATTATAGGTGTGGGCCACTGTGCCTGGCACACATTCTATATTTATATGAGCCGTGCTTTAAACTTTGAAAATTAGGCTTTGAGGGTGATAGTGGGTATGTATTTTTTCTAAGTTAAAAATGATAGGCCAGGCGCGGTGGCTCACGCCTGTAATCCCAGCACTTTGGGAGGCCGAGGAGGGCAGATCAAGAGGTCAGGGAGATCGAGACCATCCTGGCTAACACGGTGAAACCCTGTCTCTACTAAAAATACAAAAAATTAGCCAGGCGTGGTGGCAGGCACCTGTAGTCCCAGCTACTCGGGAGGCTGAGGCAGGAGAATGGCATGAACCTGGGAGGCGGAGCTTGCAGTGAGCCGAGATCGGGCCACTGCATTCCAGCCTGGGCGACAGAGTGAGACTCTGTCTCAAAAAAAAAAAAAAAAAAAAAAGAAAAAAAAGTTAAGCTACTGCATGAAAAACAAACTGTGGTGTGCGTCTTATAGTGTGTAAAGTGCTTTCTCATATGTGATCCTATTTTGACATTGAATCTCAAGGTTGCTCTGTGAGCAAGTAGAGCAGGTGGGGTTAGTCCCACGTAGCCGCTAAGGGAACTTGGACCCAGACTGAGAAGAGAGGTGCCTTATCCCCAGATCTCCCATGCCCAGAGTGACAGAACCATGCCATTGGCAGGGACTCCCCCTCCTGTCTCTGTCTATGCTGGTGAAATCTGGTTAAAACAAACATTAGGAACAGTCCCAAATGGAAAGATAGAGTTGGAGGCAGGTGGATTGGGGGTGTTGAGATGGAGCGGGCCACTCTGGTGGCTCTTCTCATGTGGATATGAGCAGCAATTGGCAGCCCCCACCCTTCCCAACCCCACCAGCAGCAGCTCACTCCTCAGAGGCAAGGGCTCCCAATCCTGAGCCCCCAGACCCTTAGGGGCCATCTTTCAATGTAGTAATAGGGGGCCCAGAGCGATTAGCAATATTTCAGAAAGCTTAAGGGAGATCATACATCTCCCCATGACAGGCCTGCCCAGACTAAATGAAATGTCATTTCTCTCATTTTTTGGCTGGAATTCTGTCAGCTCAGTCTGGCTGCACTGCTTATCTTGGGCTGATCAGGAGCCCTGATTGGACCTTATATGTGTCCTTGACAAATAAAAATGAATGATTACTTAATAAATGCAATTGGTTTGGCAGATACAGCCTTTCAAAGCATGGCTCCATGAAGCTCCAAAGAGCCTCACAGAAGAGGTTATTGGTGGCATCGAGATGGGGACTGACTTGCTGGCCCACCCAGGACCAGCCCTGGCTGGGGGCCCCCTCTCCAGGGAAGCAGACAGTGGTGGCCCTGGGGCATCTGGCATCTCAGCCTGAGTCTGAGAACTTGACCTGGGGCAAAGTCCTGCTCCTAAGGCCAACAGACACTGAGTGCAGGGATGTCTGTTTCACCCCAGGAAAATGGCAGGAGCTGGAGGGCTGGCGTGGTAGCGGGCATAGTGTCTTACATCTCTTCACCTCTTATAAACATACAATGAAAGCTAGTCTGCTCACCTTCCAGGGGTGTTATGAGGAATCGGGGGCGCTTATGAGAGTCACCAGGGCACAGCACCGTGGCATTCTCGTTTACCTTCCCAGTGACCCCTGAGAGTGGGACTATTATTATTTCCATTTTACTGAAGCTGATGGCATAAGGAACTTGTTTAAGGTCACAGCGCTCAATTGAAAAGTGCAGAAGTGGGTGCAAGCCAGCGTAGAATAGCAGTTACTAGAAGGCTGCGGGGTCAGCTGGTGTGAATCTTGGCTCGACCCTTTTCTAGCCATGAGTTAGTTAAACCTTGATGAATCAGTTTCACATCTGCAAATGAGGATCATAATTGTCCCTACCTTTGGGAGGCTAATAAGGATGTCAGCTGGTTGTTACTAAATTAGGGTCATTCTTGATGATTTAATTTGGGGCAAATTATAATTGATTGGGATTCAGAGGAGATGAATGGGGTTAGAATAAACATCGAGGCAGGAACCACAGCATCTTAGGAAAACAGAGAGATGAGGGTCTCACGTTGAACGCAGAGTCGTAGTCACGTGTTTGCCACTGTTACAAGCAAGTGGATACATAATAGAGCCAGTCTGTGGTCCATAAATTATACCTCAACAAAGCTGTTTAATAAAGCAGAGCGAGTCCCTCC
Organism: Homo sapiens; assembly: GCF_000001405.40. Lineage (NCBI taxonomy): Eukaryota > Metazoa > Chordata > Mammalia > Primates > Hominidae > Homo > Homo sapiens. The sequence continues at coordinate 77,923,091 of NC_000014.9, forward strand.
TATCTTGGGAGTTTATGATAGTGGGATAGATGGTCATTAATCAAATAATCACACAAATAGTGAGCTAGTGCCCTGAAAGAAAAGGCCTTTGAGAACGTATGGCAAGGGAACCTCATTTTGCCTGGGAGGCCAGGGAGGGCTTCTTCAGAGAGGTGATGCTGATCTGGGATGGGAAGGAAGAGAGAGGGTAAGCCAGGTGAAGGGGAGATGGCAAGAATGCTCCTGGCAGCAGGAATAGCATGTGCAAAGGCCCTGAGGCCAGAAAGCACACGGATTGCTGGGGAAGAGAAAGAGTGAATATGGCTGGAATGTCAGTGTGGTGTGAGATGAGACCAGGCAGGAGGCAGGGCCTGGTCAGGTAGGACTTTGTAGGCTGGGGGAAAGAGGAGAATTTTTAAGATCCCAATCCTGTGTTCCCCACCCGTGGGCCCCAGCTCCTCTCCCCTCTGACCAGGTTAGGTTTGTTAATGACCATGGGGTCTAGCCGAGGCCGAGAGGGTTGCCTAGGGCAGCTTGTGTCCTGGCGTGTCAGCTTTCTGGGTCGAGCATCTCTTTGTTCCCTGGAAACCTGTCAACAGACCCTCTATGGGCCCAGGTCTGGCTTTATTCAGCAGCTGTTCCTTAGCGGGGAAGAGGCTTTTAGCTTTAATAAAAAAGGGACTAGAGATAAGAAGACTGCCTCGTCAGGGAGAGCAGCAGTGACAGGATGATTTAAACGGCTTCTCTAGTGTCATTTCTTCTGTGCAGACATCATAAATCAGATTAGCATTGGGCTCTGGCAGGGAGGGGAGCAGGGAGAGGGGAGGGGAGCAGGGAGAGGGGAGGCGGGCCTGTGACTCTGGGTCCACCTAGCACAGGCCTGGAGCAGGTGGGGCAGCCCCAGAGGAGGCGGTGGGGTCACCTGCTCCTGATCCTCAGCCCCCTCACCCTGTTCTTTGGAGAAGGGGTGAGTGGAATGACTCCCTCAGCCCAGCTGTTCAGCCCATTCTCAGCTTTGGGGGGAAATGGAGAAGGACTGATAAAAGGGTATGGAGGAGAGAAATGGGGGACAAGTCGGGGGGCGGGTGTGGGAGGTGGAGAGTGCAGTTCTCCTACCTAATCCCATGTTCACGTCACCTCGAACTTTAAAAAATACTGGTGCCTTGTACCGCCCACATGGTTTCATGATTCTAAGGTGCAGCTAAAGTTAAGAAATCTTAAACTCAAAGAGTATGTCATCTCAAACAATCACTCCCACCACAACCGCTCCGGCCCACCGATTTTCTCTGGCCTCCCCTTAAAAGTGACCACATTGAGAGACCAGACAGAGGTCCCTCGGATAGATGTGAGTGGAGAGGAGCTCCCACCTGCCCCTCTTCTCTTTCAGATCTCACGCCACCTGGGCAAGATGTATAGTGAGATGATCTTCGTCAATGGCTTCGTGCACTGCGATCCCCACCCCGGCAATGTACTGGTGCGGAAGCACCCCGGCACGGGAAAGGCGGAGATTGTCCTGTTGGACCATGGGCTTTACCAGGTAGAAGAGGCCTTTGTTACCCAGCCCTGGGGCCTCTGGGGTTAGAGTCTGCTGACCACTCTAATTAGCTGCAGAACCGGGAGGGAGATAGCGAGGGTAGCTGGAAAGGACCCTTCCCTCTCCCTTGGAGCTGTCATTTTGTGCAAGTCACTGTCACAGAGCTCTCAGAGCTTCAGCTGCCTCCTCATGAAGGTGAGGGTGACGGTACCCCCTTTACAGGCTATTGTGAAGAGTAGATGGAAATAGGCTTGTATGTTAGATTATACTTTCCCATGGAGCCCCAGGCCAGCAAGGATCCTCAGAAGTGAGCTGTCCTCTGCATGAGCTGGGACTTTACGGGGAAGGAGTAACTACATGTTTAGGCCTACTGAGGATATACTACCTAGTGGGAAAGGGGGCAGGCAGCCAGTGGGGGCTGGAGGGCCTCAGACTGTGTCCTCAGGATGCAGATCTGGTTCAAAGGAGCCAGGAGCTCCTACTTGGAAGATGGGAAGTTCACTGCCAATCTGGGCCCCAGGGGATTCTGCTCCTTCTCTCAGTGACCTGATCCCACATCCCAGAATCTTGGCCTCTTCTGAAAGGCTTAACGAAGTAGAATGCATTAGTTTAGGGTAGGCTAGCTGTTTTCACATGTGGCCCCAAAATGATGGCCCAGATACAGCAGGAGCTTAATTGCTTGCTCACATGCCAGTCCTGGATGGGTGGAGGAGACTGCCAGGCTCTGCCTCCCAAGCCTCACCAGAGGTGATGGTGCTGGCAGCTGGCGGCAGGGTGAGGGCTTGGAGGAGCCTGCAGGGGAAAGTTTCTGTGGGCCAGGCCTGGAAGTGGAGCTTCTGCCACATTCCGTCAGTTGGGCTCATGCTGAGGACCACATCTAACTTTGAGGGAGGCTGAGAAAGGAGGCTGTACCTGGGAAGAGGAGGAGAATGTAGACTTGGTTGGGCAGTTAATAGTCACTACCACTCAGGGTCGAGGCTTGCCAAAGAGTCGCTTTGAACTTGAAGCTTCAGGGATGGCAGAGCTCTGGGGGAGAAACAGATGTCGTGGGAAGGCACAGTCCTCACCGTCGTCTTTTGCAATGGTTGGCATCAGCCAGGGACTTGGGCCTTTGGTGGGGAGACGAGGCTTAGGTCCCACCGCTGCCGCCTCCACCCTAGATGCTCACGGAAGAATTCCGCCTGAATTACTGCCACCTCTGGCAGTCTCTGATCTGGACTGACATGAAGAGAGTGAAGGAGTACAGCCAGCGACTGGGAGCCGGGGATCTCTACCCCTTGTTTGCCTGCATGCTGACGGCGCGATCGTGGGACTCGGTCAACAGAGGCATCAGCCAAGCTCCCGTCACTGCCACTGAGGTAGGGGGCCCCTCCAGGCCCTGCCTCTTCCTAAATGCAGAAGGCAGGGCTAGAGGTGGCCTGTGGACCCCTTCCAAGTAAGGTCTAAGAGTCTAGACTGGTGGGCTGTGTGTTGGGGGAGGGGAAGAATTGGAGCTATATTGGACAAGAAGAGAAAGACAAGGAGAAATAATGCCCTGGATGGAAGGAGGGAAAGGGGGTGATACCTCCCGAGCTCCCCTCCAAGTCTTATCAGTCTGGAGGAAACAGGTGCACATTAACCATAATAACTCAGACTTCTGTAGCTTTAGCTCTGACCTGCTCACACTAGATTCCAGGCCTTCCCCAAGTTCTCCCACAAGACCTCTGGGAATCCTTAGGGACTATCTCTTAAATAAATCTGGCAGTACTTCTGCTGTGTCCTGCCTGGCACTGTCTCCCATCACATGGCTCCTCTAAGGCAACAAGCTGAGAGAGCCCTTCACTTCTCAGGTGGCACTCAAGCAGGGGTGCTCATCTCATTGTCTGCAGACTTTTTTGTTTGTTTGTTTGTTTAATGAGACGGAGTCTCGCTCTGTCGCCCAGGCTGGAGTGTAGTGGCATGATATCGGCTCACTGCAACCTCTGCCTCCGGGGTTCAAGCGATTCTCCTGTCTCAGCCTCCTGAGTAGCTGGGACTACAGGTGCACATCACCATGCCTGGCTAATTTTTGTGTTTTTAGTAGAGGTGGGGTTTTGCCATGTTGGCCAGGCTAAAGCAGCTTTTTTGTGGTCATTATTTGTAGCTCATTTCTCTATTTCACCTAGACAAGAGTCTCATGGAGTCTGGGCTGGGAGACACATCGGGAGCACCTCCACCCAGTACTCAGACCCACCTCTGCTTGCACGACAGAAGCTTATGGGGGCGAGCTCATTCCTCCTGGCTCAGGGTGGGCTCCCTTCCAGGGGGCTTTTCCAGCCTCCAGAATTGGCTGCTGTCTTCACAGCCTATTAATTTGCCAGACCCACTTAGACTTGCCTGAATCCACGTGGGGGATGGCCTTGGGCTCCAGCTGAGGCCCCTGCTCACCATCAGGGACAGGGTTCTGCCTGTGCAGTCAGAAAGCCCTGGGCTCCAGCGCCTCGTCTTCCTTACAGTGTGACCTTGGGTGGTCCTCATCACCTCTTTGAGCCTCAGGGTAAGCTGCTTACCCTGTAAGCTGCTTTGTGATAGGCAGCTTTGGGAATGGCTAGATCCAGATTCTCAAATGATGTCATCAAAGAGACCATCCGTCCCCATCTCTCGGCTCCGCTTTCCTCCAAGTTGACATCCTTCTCCAGCAAGCTTGGTGGCAAAGATGACGACCAACTCTCGGCTTCTACAGCCTTGAAGCCCGTCATCTCAAAGGAAGACAGACAATTTTCCTCTTTTGTAAAATAGGGATAGGGATGATAAGGATAATTTCCACTTTATTGACAGTGCATGTAAAGTGCTTACCCATAGTTCCTGAAGTTCGTTCTTTTGACAAACATTTGTTTTTGTTGGGCTGTGGGTATGAGCTGAGGATCCCATGATGAACAGGCAGACAGGCCTTCTGTGTAATTTACACTTTGGTTGAGGGAGACAGACAGTAAACAAGTGAACAAACAGGTGAATGGAATAACTGCAGGTTGTCAGTGCCCTGGACGAAACAAGTAGGGTGCTGTGAGTAAGGGGGCGGAGCAGCACTCAGAGAAGACCTGGCTTGAGGAGGTGACATTTCAGCTGAGGCCCAAAGGACAAGAAAGGCACCAGTTCCAGGAAGAACTTGAAGGACACATTCCAGGCACACTCAAGCCAAGGGGAAAGAAAGCGTTTGGTATGGCCCAGAGCGTGGTGAGGAGGACGGTGGGATGAGAAGACGGAGGAGCCGTGGGCAGGAAGATCATCACGCAGGGTCTTAAAAGCCACGGGAAGATGTTCCAACTAATTCTCAGCACAAAACAAAGCCCTTCGTAGGCTCTGAGCAGGAGAGGGAGATGCCCAGGCTTGCTCTTTTTAAGTATCTCTCTCGAGTGGGGTGAGATGAGTGGTGGCGATCATTTAGGAGCCTAGGCCGGGACTCCAGGTTGAGAGATGACAGGGGCTCAGGCTGCACTGGTGGCAACAGAGATGGAGAGAGGCAGTGGAGCCAAGGTGTGTTTTGGAAGTAAGATTGAGTTTCTGTAGGATTGGATGTGGAGAGAAGGGAAAGGGCAGGGCCAAGGCTGCATCATAGCTTTTTGGGATGAGTTTTATGGTGGGGGATGGTGCTACTTCCTGTCGTAGGGAAGACTGGGAAGGACATATTTGGGGTGGGGTAGTCAACGGTTCTCTTGTGAAGGTAGAGATGTCATGGGCAGCTAAGACTGGAGTTCACAGAAGAGGTCTAGACTTAAAATACAAATTTAAGAGTCTTCAGGGTAAGGTGATATTTAAAACCTCAGGCCTGGATGAGGTCACGTGGCATGTACTAGGTTCTCAGTATATTTGTTTTTATTAACTAAGATAGAATTTTGTTTTTGCATTTTTTTTTTTTTTGAGACAGAGTCTCTCTCTCTTGTCCAGGCTGGAGTGCAGTGGCACAATCTTGGCTCACTGCAACCTCTGCCTCCCAGGTTCAAGCCATTCTCCTGCCTCAGCCTTCTGAGTAGCTGGGATTACAGGCATGTGCCACCACACCTGGCTAATTTTTGTATATTTAGTAGAGATGGGGTTTCGCCATGTTGGCCAAGATGGTCTCGATCTCCTGACCTTGTGATACACCCATCTCGGCCTCCCAAAGTGCTGGGATTACAGTCATGAGCCACCGTGCCCAGCCTGTTTTTGCATTCTTATTTATTGATAAAGACTCAGTTTAAATGCCAGTCCTTTGAAAAAGTCTTGTCTCTTCCAGAAAGCCTGTTCTTATCACCTTTGCCAAAAGTCACCCCTTAATACTTGTATTACTAACAAGGCAAGTACACCATGCCCCTTGTAGTTATTTGTCTGCACGCCTTAACTCTCCAACTATGTGGTGAGTACTTGGAAGGCAAAGACCCCGTCTTGTATATCTTTTTATAAGGTCCCTGCCATCCTGGGACTGGGTCTGGTAGAGGGGCATTTGTGAATGTTCTGGAGACACTTCCTCCATTTGCTCACTTTAGACAACCCAGATAGATCATAAAGTTAGCTACTCCAGGTCAGCCTGGTCTCAGGGATCCACAGGCTCAGTCTTTCTGAGCCCTGCTCTCATTGAGGATTAGGGGAACCTCCAACATTGTATGAAGGAGAATGTTTTCCCCAACTAACCGTGGCTTAAACATAAGGAATTTGTTCTCTCTCCTACAAGAAGCCTGGAGATGGGTGGGTTAGCTCAGTGGATCAACAAATTCAGGTCCCTGGGCTAACTTGTGATTCTCTGGGCTTTCCACCACAATTTCAAGATGACTGTGTGGTTCCAAGCTTTACATCTTCATTCAGTGTGGCTAGAGGCAGGAATAAGGCGCTATGTCTCCTTATATCATTTAAGAGCAAGAAAACCTTTTTTAGAAGTGCCGGCCTCCCTCCAACAGCTTCCTCTTGCCTCATTGGCTGACGCAGGTCACGTGTCCATGCCTAAACCAGTCATGTGGCAAGGGGCTGAGAGCTCAGAGCTAGCCCTGGCTGAACTCAATCCAGATTCCCTGCTGGGGCCAGGGAGGGGCTGCACCTCCCTATGGAGCATGACCCCAAGGGATCAAGTGAACAAAATTTTTTTTTTTTTTGAGACAGAGTCTCGCTCTGTTGTCTAGGCTGGAGTGCAGTGGTGTGATCTCAGCTCACCAAAACCTCTGCCTCCTGGGTTCAAGTGGTTCTCCTGCCTCAGCCTCCTGAGTAGCTGGGACTACAGGTGTATGCCACCATGCCTGGCTAACTTTTGTATTTTTAGTAGAGATGGGGTTTCGCTATGTTGGCCAGGCTGGTCTCGAACTCCTGACCTCGTGATCTGCCCATCTTGGCCTCCCAAAGTGCTAGGATTACAGGTGTGAGCCTGGGTTCTTTTAATAAAGGAGATTGGGGTGAAGACTTAGGTAGATACCCAACAGGGTCTACTGCAGACACCCACCATCAGGATGTGTCTTAGCTGGAGACTGCTGCTCTGAGAGCTGTCCCCCGGTAGTAGCCTGGGTGACTGAAGTTGCTGAGAGGCTGTTGCCAGGCCAGTCCGACCGTGCTGAGAGGGGGGTCCCTGTGGTGAGCAGGGGACTTGTAGCTGTGGCCATAGGTGCCTCTTAAGGTCTGGCTTTGTGTTGAGATGTTCCAGTCTGATAGTTCCTGCCTGAGAGGCAGTTCAAGACATTTCAAGTTTTGCAGTGACTCTGTTCTCAGCAGCGCACACGTGCTTCTGAAAGGACTGAGAGCCCTGCTGCTTCGGAGAGGAGTGGGGTGGTAAAGACTTTCAGCAGCACCCCGGGTCTCCTCATTATGACTTGGCACTGATTGCTTCCTCAGACCTTATCTCTGGTGACCTTCCCAGTGCTGCTGGGAGGCGGGCACAGAGGGTATTGGCATTCCCAATTTTTGGGTGAGGACACTAAGTTGAAAGAGATTAGAGGACTTACCCAGAGTCGTCGAGTCCTGTGGTGAGGTGAGGAGGTGTGGTATTGCCAGATGGTGAGGGCACAGGCTCGGGAGCTGGACTGCCTGGGTTCACGTCCCATCTCACCACTTACTAGCACTTAACTTCTCAATGCCTGTGTTTCCTCATCTTAAATGGGGATAATACACCGATAGGGTTGTTGTGAGGATTAAATCAATTAATACGTGCCAACATTGTCAAAGTGCCTGGCTTCTTTAGTAAATGCTCAATATATGGTGCTTATCGTCACCATCATCATCATATCTATGGAGACTGAAAAGGGGTCAGAACCACACTTATATTTAGGATTTTGCTGGGGGCATTTATCTGCTTAGAGCTGTGAAGAGTGTAGGGACAGGGATCGTGGGGAGGCCAGACCCCAAACTTAAAGACCAGGTAGGTCAAGGGCTGTGGCGATGACCAGCATGAAGGGCTAATCCTGGATCCTAGGCCAGGGCATCAGACCTTGGGCCACAGGTGGGATGAGACTGGCTCTCATGCGAGGACAGTGGTAAGCAATGGAGCGTGAGCAGCAGCATGGTCTGGCAGGGTGCAGGCTATGGGGCAGGACTTTGGAGTTGGGTTGAAGTCAGGTCAGCCTGAGCTAGGCTTGGAGGGGTAGGAGACCAGACTCAGCTGGTACTGGCTTCTGGGGGTCCTTCCAGACCTGATCTAAAATTGCGGCCAGTGAAAAAGCCATGGAGAATAACCTGGTCTCTCGCAATGTATACTGTGTCACATCCAACGCTTTCCTAGAAGTTTGGCTGAGATATCCCCTTCCGGGTTTGTCAGGCTATACAGTGCCTTGTGCTAGACTTCTCTATGGGGAGTGCTCCTAGCAGTGCCAAGACAGCGGTGCCTGAAGCTCCCTCCTGGGGCTTCTTTGCAGCCCTCTGGTCACAGCCTGCCAGACCCCTGCCACCCCTGGCCCCACTGCCCATACCAACCATCTGTTTCTGTTGCCCCATTGCTGCTTCAGGACTTAGAGATTCGCAACAACGCGGCCAACTACCTCCCCCAGATCAGCCATCTCCTCAACCACGTGCCGCGCCAGATGCTGCTCATCTTGAAGACCAACGACCTGCTGCGTGGCATTGAGGCCGCCCTGGGCACCCGCGCCAGCGCCAGCTCCTTTCTCAACATGTCACGTTGCTGCATCAGAGCGCTAGCTGAGTGAGTGTGGGCTCCTCCCTCTCCTCCCCTCCTAGCCCCCTGGCCTGCCCCAGGGGTCCTGCTTTTGCTGCCACCTTTCCCCACCAGTCTACAGGGCCCTGCCTGAGCTTCCCAATCTCCAGATATCCCTGCAGGCAAAGTTAAAGTTTGAAATGTTTTCTGAGAGTCTCAGCCCCATCTAAGTATCCCAAGTTTGAAGTCAGGAAGCCGTGATGTGTATCTCTCCACTAATTGGTCCTGGGACTTGTCAGCCAGGCCAGTGCTCTTTGTCCTATAGATGAGACTGTGACTCAGGTTCTCTTGATCTCAGATCTTTTTATTTATTTATTTATTTAATTTATTTATTTTCTTTTTTGAGACACAGTCTGACTCTGTCCCCCAGGCTGGAGTACAGTGGTGTGATCTCGGCTCACTGCAACCTTCATCTCCCGAATTCAAGCGATTCTCCTGCCTCAGTCTCCCGAGTAGCTAGAATTACAGGCACCCACCACCATATCCAGCTAATTTTTATATTTTTAGTAGAGACGGGGTTTCACCGTGTTGGCCAGGCTGGTCTTGAACTCCTGACCTCGAGTGATCCACCTTCCTTGGCCTCCCAAAGTCCTGGGATTACAGGCATGAGCCACCATGTCCAACCTCAGATCTTTTTAGATGCCTCAGCACCTTTGGGCATTAATGAGGAAGAGAAGTGTGCTTCCTCAGGGAGCTAGTTCCAGAGGAAAGAGGGTTTCAGGCTGTATTACTGAGTGTGACAAATACGTCGGAAGGGCCCCGCTCTGGATGATTGTTCTCACTCAAGAGAGAAAGCCTAGGTAATGCTCAATTTCCAGCCCTTCCGTGCTGGGAATGGACCATTCTGGGAACCTATCTGGTGAAAGGAGATTTGACCACGTATATCACGTACCCACTATCAAATATTAAATTAGTTTACAGCATAATATACTGCATACTGAAAGGGCCAACTTTGATTTATTCTTCCTCTGAGGGTTCAGGAAATGAAGTCTTGAATAGGTCATCATCATAAACACCAGTTTTCATCATGTCCTTTTGTTGGTGCAGAAGGGATTGAGCTGGGCTGAATTCATAATGGCCTCAGCCTCCCAGGACCACCTGACCAGGTTTCCAAGTGATTCTTATCCTTAGAAAGTTTGGAAAGGCTTTGACTATTTTTGAGTTTGGGAGATTCTTGGTTGGCATAGATTTACTATGCTTTTGGAGAAAGAAACATTGGAATGTTCTACCCAATGGGTTTATTAGACCATTGATGCCCTGTGAAACAACTGCTTTTGTTTATTCCACTTATTTGAAAAACTCCTTTGAAATATTTGATTTCCTCTGGCTCCCGATTGGGTAGTGGTATAGTATGATCCTGTATCCAAGAGTAGTCCCTAGGGGCAGGGAGCTGGTGAGTTGGCCAAAGCCACCATCTTTAGTTTTTCTAAATGATACAGAGCTAGTGTTTCTTGCCTCTTTATCTCTTTTCTCCTTTTTTCTTTCCCTTTTTCCAGGCACAAGAAGAAGAATACCTGTTCATTCTTCAGAAGGACCCAGATCTCTTTCAGCGAGGCCTTCAACTTATGGCAGATCAACCTCCATGAGCTCATCCTGCGTGTGAAGGGGTTGAAGCTGGCTGACCGGGTCTTGGCCCTAATATGCTGGCTGTTCCCTGCTCCACTCTGAGTGGAATTGCTCTCCCTGCCCCATTCTGGTGTCTTTCCACTCCTCAGCCCCTCATCTTGCCTCCACCCAGCTGCTCCATTTTTGCCACATCGTGGCCCGCAGCCCCAGAGTCACTGTCCATGTCACCATCCTTCTCCTCCTTTGGAATCCTCTCCGCACACTGTGGCCCTTGTCTCAGGGCCCACAAGCTGAACTGTGGCATAGCTCTCTCTTCTTCTCCAAGAAGACTCAGCAGCCTACATTCCCATTCCTGGTATGTGCCATTGGGTTGGATGTCCCCACTACTTCCGTTAACCCTTCCCATTGTCAAGATGTGCCACGGGTGCCACTGGGGGCACACTGAACTTGTAGGGAGTGTGATTTTGTTGGAGGTGCACATGGTCTCTGAATTTGACAGAGAACACCTTCCCTTTCCTTGCCATGTCACCCTCCAGAGGAAGTCACACCTCAGCGAGGTGGTTTGGCATCTGGGGCCAACTCCATTACAGCTATGAGCTCACTGCTGTCAGTGACGTTTGGTGTTTTCTGTACTGTGTTTCAATAAAAACTCCTTCAAGGTTGCAGGATTTGTCCATCATAACTCACTGGCCTCCCACCTGACCCCAGGCACGTGCCCTTCCAGAATGTGCTCATGGTCCTCGCCAAGGGCTTATGGTTCCTCTTGGTTGCTGCTTCCTCAGGGTTTCCCAGGGAGATCTAGGGAACAGAAGGCCAGGGGCTGTTTGGTGGGATTTTCCTTATAGGTTGGGAGTTCACCTACAATGCCCATTAGGTCAGAGTGGACCTGAATCGAGTATTGGTGTGATCTTCTGCTTGGCTTCTTGCTCCTGTAATCCTTCCAACCTGTGGGGCCACTTCCACTATGGGGCCACTTCCTGCTTCTTGGGGGTTTCTCTTACCTTCCAAGACTCAGACTCTGGTTGGAGGAGTTAAGAAGCCCAAGGCCAGGAACTCAGAGGCTCAGCTGAAACCTTGGACCTTGTTTTTCTGTGACCTGGGTACCAACCTTGTTCTACTGTTTCCTGACTTATCCCTTTGGTTCTCATTCAGTGGCCCCAGTTTTAGGCCTGGAATTCTACTTGTCTCCCCCCAGTCCTTCTGGAGACCTTAGTCCTCTTGCTGAAACCTCCGTCACTGTGGCTGGGTTTTCACTGGGAAACTTCTGTGTTTCTACCCCATTGCTTGCTGCCAGCACTGCCTCTCCCCCCAGCCTGGTTGTCTGCTTCTGTTTCTTGGACATCCCTAAGCTCCTGCTCTAATTCCCATGTCTTTGTCTTTGGCAGGTCCTACTGTCTGCTTTCACGGACAGTAATTGTATTTGAGCCTCTCTGATCTTACTTCACCCAATTCACAAGGGCAGAAAAAATCCTGAATTTGAGCCTAATTTTCTGTACTCTTTATTCATAGTACAGCAAGCAGATTTTTCAGTGATCAGTGACAATTCACAATCCTTTTATTTCCCAAAAGAATTAATTGTTCTTAGTGACCAGTTGGATGCACCCAGGGACCTGAGAGTATAATTTGCAATATCTGATTATTAATCTTGAGGATGTGTGCTGCATAGTATATTTTATGGTGTCTTTTATAGCCACTGAAGTAAATATAAATGTCCTTTCTGTTCAAGGTCATGGTTACTTGCTTTTTAGTTTGGGTATGTGTAATGGTTGGCTTCGTGCTGTCCTGGGATCTAAAACATCAGCATGGTGCCAGTGGGCCCAGCACCCAGAACAGTTAGCTGGGGTGAGCAGAGAGGCAAGAAGAGTTGGGAGTATGGGACTGTGTGAAGATAGCAAGGGAGGAGGTAGATGTTTACTGAGTGCCTTCCATATGTGAGAGTCTGTGTTAGGCTCTGCAAATATGTTACATCATTGAGTTTTCCCATCCCCTCTGTGATGGAGGGGTTATTAGCCTCATCTTACTGAGGTGGGAACCAACGCTCAGAGAGGTTTAGTAATTTGCTTGTGGCCACACAGCTGCTGAGTAGTGGCCTGTGGTTTTTAGTTTTTTTCTTTTAAATTATACAGTGCTGTAGAGATGGAATACATTTGCTCCTTGGGCTGTCTTATATGCCTGAGTTTGGGTCTCAAATGTCCTGAATTCAGAGGAAATTGGATTTACAGGAGTAGGGTAAGGGGAGGAAGTAGATGGGTAAAGAAGGCAAAAGCCCTGGAAGATGCAGACCACCAGCAGATGTTACCCAGGGCCTCAGACAGGATGGACCTGGACCACTACATTTCTGCAGTGCAGTTCTGACACTAACCAGCTGCAGTTAGTGCAAACTCTGCAGTCTTGAGGACACAGTTCCCCACCAGACTGCCCTCACTTCAGCCACAAGCTTCAGGTGTGGGGGGCCCCAGACCACCTGTACCTCTGACCAACTACAAATTTGGGGATTCCCATAGCCCCTTCGTGTTTGATAGTTTGCTAGAATGATCCACAGAACTCAGGAAAGCACTCTACTTGTAATTACACTTTTAATATAAAGGATACAACTCAGGACCAGCCACATGAGCCACACGGGAGATCTGGGAGGGTCTTGAGTGCAGAGCTTCCGTGTCCTCTCCCCATGGGATTAAGGGGCATCACCTTCTTGGCACATCAATGTGTTCACCAAGCTTCAGTGTTCAGAGTTTTTATTGGGGTCCCATTACACAGGCATGATTGATTGACTCATGGGCCACATTAAAGGAACTCAATCTCCAGTTTCTTTCCCCTCCCTAGAGGAGGCTGGGGTGATCTTGCCCCCATTCAAAGTCATCTAGTTAGTATAAACTTAGGTGTGCCACAAGGGGCACACCATGAATAACAGACATTCCTATCCGTTGGGAGTTTCCAGGGATTTAGAGGAAACAGCACAAAGACCAGGCAAATTCTTTATTATTTGACAACCACTGTGATGTGTCCTTGACTTATCCTGGGGCTGTGGTAAGCTTTTATTGACTGGCTGCTGTCCTGGGCCTTCTACTTGGCTTGGGAGGAGTCATCTCTGGAGTTCAAATCCATAGGAGAACCCTCTCTCCCGGATCTTGTTTTGCAGTTCAGAAACACTCGGGTGAACTTTGCACTGATCCCTTCTCTCTCCTGTGGAATTTGCCATGAGGGCTGGCCATTGATTTGGGTTTGGTGCTTTTCAACAAAATTCTGCAACTTCCCCCACCCCCTAGCAGTGATAATGTCTCTCTGCAAGGCATCGCCAGTTTTGATGAATGTTTTCTCTTAACAGGTGGATACTTCTTATTTAATCTAGTTGTTGGCCTCTTTGATTTAGGCAACACAGCTATTATTCCTCCTCCCTCTTCTTAGGTGGAGGGAAGAGGAATTCTGACCCTGGCCCATTTGGTCCAGAGCCTCTCAGATATGTAAGTGTAGATGTCCTGGCTTATGATACAGTGCTCATAAGCATGCAAGTATTTAGAATTGTACCATTTGGCTGGGCATGGTGGCTCATGCCTATAATCCCAGCACTTTGGGTGGCTGAGGTGGGTGGATCACGAGGTCAGGAGTTCAAGACCAGCCTGGCCAGTATGGTGAAACCCCATCTCTACTAAAAATACAAAAATTAGCCAGGCATGGTGGCGCGTGACTTTGCTGTGGAAGCAAGGTCTATTATAAAAATACAAAAATTGGCCAGGCATGGTGGTGCCCGCCTGACACCTCCCCAGCTACTCTGGAGGCTGAGGCAGGAGACTCGCTTGAACCCGGGAGGTGGAGGTTGCAGTGAGCTGAGATTGTGCCACTGCACCCAAGCCTGGGTGACAGAGCAAGACCTTGTCTCAAAAAATAAAAATAAGAAACAGAATTGCACCATTCTTTGTGTTTTTCAGGGGTGTTGAAATCTGTGTATTTAAAAAGCGGCGCATGCTCTCATCTGTCATGAGGTGCTGCTTGGTCATCAGGTTAACTTCTGCAGCATTCCTAGCCTACTCTCAAGATCAGAGATGGTCTGTTTCAGCATTACAGGATGCCCAGGGCCCTGCTGCCACAGCTGCAGGGCTCTAAAACTGCGAGCATCTAATATTATCTCAGAAAACATAGTGGCTCCAAGAGGCACCCCAGCAAATCCTGGGCAATGGAATTTGTTGGGAGGTTTGGAGTAGCCCTCAGTTTAGGCAAATGTGTGTCTTAAGTGGAGTCACACAGAGTGGCACTTGGACTTAAGTGGTTAGGAAGAGTGTAGCCACGAGGAGCTAGGATCCAAGCTGGGAGCTGGTGATCACGTATGATCTCAACAGGATGAAAGAACCACAGAGGGTGGTGTCTTCCTGGCAGCCTGCCCCAGTGGAGCAGTGCTATTTCTTGGGCTAGATCAGGAGGGCCCATATTTAAAGAGAGGTCCTGAGTGCCGAGTGACCGGGTGCCACTGCCACTGGTAACTCGCCAAATGGGAACTGTGGGAAGACCAGCTCCCATCACCCGACCCCCACCACCCCCCGCCACAGCCCACCCTACAAGCCTTAAGTCCACAAAACATTTCAGTAAAAGCTGTTTGGGGCTGGGGGTGGTGGCTGACGCCTGTAATCCCAGCACTTTGGGAGGCTGAGGCGGGCGGATCACTTGAGGTCAAGAGTTCGAGACCAGGCTGACTGACATGGTGAAAATCCGTCTCTACTAAAAATACAAAAATAATTAGCTGGGCATGGTGGCGGGTGCTTGTAATCCCAGCTACTCGGGAGGCTGAGGCAGGAGAATCGCTTGAACCTGGCAGGTGGAGGTTGCAGTGAGCCAAGATGGCGCCATTGCACTCCAGCCTGGGCAACAAGAGTGAGAAACTCCATCGCAAAAAAAAAAAAAAAAAGCGGTTTGGTAAGGAGCCATTTGTTCAAAAAGCCTCTGCCCTTCTTCCTGTTTTTCCTTTTTGTCCCCTTCCTCCTTGCTTCCTTCTCCCTGTCTCTCCCACTCTTTCCTTCCTGGGAAGCAAAGTCTATTATAGGGCTGCACAGGCTGACTTGGTTTTCACTCCTTTACTGAAGGAAGGACAGGATCAGCCCTCGGAAGGGTAAATGTTAAACCCCGGACTCTACCTGCCGTGTCCTTTTCCTTGCAGTCAGTACCTCCTGGCCTGGTTTGCTTGGTTTCTGCAGAAGCTACCTCAGCCCTGCCATCAGCTAGGTAGGACACCCTCCCAGCCAGGTCACTGTGCTCCTGGCCAGCACTGCTGGGGGCAGTGAAGGCTTTTTCTGCCCATTTCTGCTTTTGGCTTGATTATTGCAGAGTTCCTCTGATGTTTGCTCCTATTTTTCACTTTCCTGTGTGCGAGAAGAAAGGATAGACTCTTAAGACTGGTGAAATGATGGATATTAAGCCTCCCTGACCCCTACCATTTCAGCTCCTATTTTCTCATTCCCTCTCCCTGCACGTTCATTCTAGAGCAATCCCTCTCAGATTTTCATGCATAAATGCATAACTTGGGATCTTGTTAAAATGCAGGTTCTGACTCAGTGAGTCTGGGATGAGGTCTGAGGTTTTTGCATGTCTAACCAGCTCCCAGGTGATGCTGATGCTGCTGGTCCATACTTTGAGTTGCAAGGATCTAGGTCAGTGGTTCTGAACATGTGTTCCCAGGACCAGCAGCACACTCATCACCTGGGAACTTGTTGAAACATGCAGATTCTCAGGCCTCACTCCAGACTCACTGAATCAGAAACTCTGGGGGAGACCCACCCATCTGTTTTAATAAGCCTTCCTGGGGATTCTGATGCTCACACTTGGATTCAAAATCACTGATCTATGGTTCTCAACCCTCCCTGCCCAGAGCAACCACCTGGAAAGCTTCAAATGCTCACAATTCTGATTTAATTGGTTTGATTTGGGGCCAGGCATCTTTCTGAGACAGGGCCTCACTCTTGTCACCCAGGCTGGAGTGCAGTGGTGCGATCACAGCTCACTGTAGCCTTGACCTCCTGAGCTCAGGTGATCTTCCCACCTTAGCCTTCCAGGTACCTTGGACTACAGGCATGTGCCACCATGCCTGGATTTTTTTTTTGCATTTTTTTTTTTTTTTTTTTAGAGATGGGGTCTCGCTATGTTGCCCAGGCTGGTCTTGAACTCCTGGGTTCAAGTGATCTGCCCGCCTCGGCCTCCCAAAGTGCTAGGATTACAGGTCTGAGCGGCTGCACCTGGCCAGGGGCCAGGCATTTTTTTATAATTGTGTTTTGTCTTTAGATTGCATCAATTTCCTCACTAATGTCCTCTGTGTCCCAGGACCCCATCAAGGATTCCCCCTGGCATTCCGTTGTCATGTCTCCTTAGTGTCCCCCTATCTGTGACAGTTTGTCTGACTCTCCTTGTCTTTCATGGCCTTGACACTTTTGAAGAGTACTGCTCAGGTGTTTTGTAGAATGTGTCTCAGTTCGAGTTTGTCTGGTGTTTTCTCATGATTAGACTGGGTTAGGGGTTTTGAAACAAACACAACACAGGTGAAAGTGGCCCTCTCATTGCATCCTATCCAGAGAACAAGATATCAACATGACTTACTGCTTTTGTTCTTTAATGCTCACCAGTCAGGGTTGGGACTCCTGCTTCAGGCTCTCACCCCTTCCAGGTGTCTTCCAGAGAAGGAAGAAATGCAGCTCATGAACCCCACCTGTGGGCATTAGGCAGCACCTCTTTGAGATTAGGAGAGGCTGGCTACTCCCAAATTAAAAGGCGCTCTGGAAACTAAAAGCTGCAGATATGCTGAAGAAGGTAATACAAAGGGTGGTGTGGCTTTCATATTTATATTGACCACAAATTCACTCTTTATGCATACACACAAATGTAATGACAAATGGATGTAACATCACAAACATGACCATTGAGCCCTTCTTCCCAAAAGGTAGGTCTGGCACTACGGATTTTGTTTTCCAGGCATATTTGCGGTTCTAGAAATGGGATTCCCCAGTGGGGTGTTGGCATGGAGCTCTCTGATCAGTCCCCATGAGTGGTGGGCTTGGAACCATCTGCACCAACTCAACCTGGCAGCCACCTGTTGGTGCCCAGCAGGGGCCAGCCAGCGTCTCACCTGAGCTGGTGGCCAGCTGTATCAAGCCCATGAGCCCCGGGTAATGAATGTTGGAAGTGGTCGGTGGCCCTTTCTATAGGAGGGTAATCATGGAGAGGGACGGCTGGAGGGACAGATGGTCAGCAGTGTGGACTTTTCTCTCCAAAGCTGACCTTGGGTGGGACATGAAGCCCTTCCTGTCTCCCCAGGCTGCTGAACTGGGGACAGAGGTCAGGGGCTCTGGCTGTTCCCCATCCTCTTGGAGCTGTCAGGACAACTCAGCTGTCAGGGCTGTGTAGTGGGTAGGAGGTCTCCTTTCCTGCCCACTGCTTGCTTGTAGTGGGTGGGTGGTATCCTTCCCTGTCCACTGCTTGCTTTCTCTTGCTAAAAGTAAGCATGTACACATCAGCATCTACAGACCTCTGTTAATGGATGGTGAACTCAAGGACCCAGCCCTTAATTACGACCCCACACTGCCTGTCTCTGAGGCAGCATAGGGTTGTAATTAAGGGCTGGGCCCTTGAGTTGGCCTAAGCTCAAATCCTTTTGCCCTCAGGGTTCTGTGTGATCTTAGGCAAGTAATCCAACCTCTCTGGGCCTCAATTCCCAAATTTGAATGGTGGAGATAATAGTACCTGCCTCATAGGGTACATTGGGAGGATCAAGTTAGATAATAGATACTGTGTACTTGGAGAAGTGTTTGGAGAAGTATTTGGAGAAGATAAACCATAGTAAGTCCTCCATAAATATGTTTTATTTTTATTATTAGCTCCTGTGGCAGACTATTTCCAACCCCCTTAGCTCTTGCTTTCCCAGCCTCCCTTGCAGCTAGAAGTGGCACATGACATGCGAGGTGAAGGGGAATCTTATGGAGGGCTTCTGGAGAAGTTGTTCTTTTCTTTTTTTTAATTAGAGATGGGGTTTCATCATGTTGGCCTGGCTGGTCTTGAACTCCTGGCCTCAAGTGATCTGCCTGCCTCAGCCTCCCAGAGTGAGCTACCACGTCCGGTGGAGTTTTTCTTTAGAAGTTGATAAAGGTATAGTTTGTTAGTGTTGCCCCTTGCTCTTTCTTCCTGTAGGGGAGACTGATGTGTGGTTTTGGACGTCTGGAACTACAGCAGCTATTTTGTGACCTTGAGGCAATAAGCACAGCATGATGTTTTGTTTGGCCACTGTATGGACTGAATTATGTTCTCCCAACATTCTTATGTTGAAGTCCCAACCCCAAATGTGACTATTTGATTAGGCCTTAAAGTAATTAATGAGGTTAGATGAGATCATAAGACTGGGGCCCTAAACCAATAGGATTGGTGTCCTTGTAAGAAGAGGAAGAGACACCAGAGCTCTTTTTCTCTCCACACGTGCGCAAAGGAAAGGCTCTATGAGGACATAGTGAGAAGGTGGCTGTCTGCAAGCCAGGAAGACAGCACCAGAAACCAACTGGGCTGGCACATTGACTTTGGACTTCCAGCCTCCAGAACTGTGAGAAAACAAATTTCTGTTGTTTAAGCCATTGTGCTTTATGGTACTTTGCTATGGCAGCCTGAGCTCATACAGGTACTTGCCTTCTCTGCTCAATGCTGGGTGGTCCCCCCTCCCAGAATTTATGGATGTTGGACTGAGGCCTCATAGGCACCAATGACTTAATGTGAAATAAATTTTATTACTTATGTAGTAAATAGCAAAAGGATTCCCCAAGGAGAAGGGCTCAGGTTCCGTCTGGAGTGAAACCTGAATGAGAGGTACTTGAGGTAGAATGGTTCTGGTTTTCTATTGTGGCTGGGGTGGAACCAGGATGGGGGTTCCCATGCATGGCCAGGGTTTGCCTGGCTTGAACTTCCCCACCAGCAACAAGTGGGAAGGCCTTGAGCTTTCTTATGGGCTGGCCAGACCTGGGCAAAAGGGTAAGTGGGAGAGGTGCAGGGCTTGAAAGCTGTCAGAGGTCAACATCAGAAATGGAGTCAGACTCTACTGTACATGAGAATCCAACAGGCTCGGGGAGCCCACCAGAAGGATGGGAAGAGCCTGGGTCTCTGATGATCCCTCCTGTCCTCTGTCCTTGCTCATTGTAGCTGTGGGCATGGGTTACGTGCAAGAGTAGACACATGATAAATATCTGTTGAAGAAATGAACATGAAAGGGATGCTTTTAGATGCGAGGAGCTTCCTTCTGAGTGTTCTTTAATCAAATGCTCCCTACACCTATGGCTTGGAGGAGGTAGTCAGGAGGCCTGTGTCAGGACACAATGATCATTTGTATTAGTTTGTTACTGCTGCTAAAACAAATTACCACAAACTTAGTGAGTGGCTTAAAACAACACAAATTTATTTTCTTATAGTTCTGGAGGTGAGAAGTTCAAAAATTAAGGTATCAGCCAGGCTGCTTGCTTTCTGGAAACTCTGAAGGAGAATCTGTTTTGTTGCCTTTTCTAGTTTGTAGAGGCTGCCTGCATTCCTTGGCTCATGGCTGCATCACCCCAACCTCTGCTTCCCCTGTCACCTCTGACTCTGACCCTCCTACCTCCCTCTTAGGAACATCCTTGTGATTAATTTGGGCCCACCTGGATAATCCAGGAAAATCTCTCAATCTCAAGATTCTTAATGTAATCACTTTCCTGAAAAGTCCTTTTGATTTTCCTGTAAAGTCCTTTGGCCATGCAAGGTAACAGTTACAGGTTCCAGGGAATAGGAAATGGATATATTTGGGGGGCAGGAGGCTTTATTCTACCTGCCACACCACTGAATCTTGTGGTAGGCCTGGGAATGCTAAGGTAGGCTTCATTCTGAGTGGAAGAATTAGCTATCAACAAATGACACAGTAATAATAATAATAATCATGACAGCTAATACTTACTGAGCACTGACCACATGCTAGCTTCTTTGCATGGATTCAATTTCAACTCATGTGAAACTCTGTGAAGTCAAGAGACCACCATTGTCCTCTTTGTACAGGTGAGTAAATTGTTTTCAGGAGGCAACACAGGCAATGAATGGCGGGCTCAGGCTTTGAACCGAGGCAGTCTGTAGCCAAAGCTTGGCCTCTCACCCTCTGACCACATGCGATGTGTCCTTGACTTTCTATTTTCCTTTGCTGGAGTAGGCTGCTTCCACAGAGCCCAGTCCTGCCAAGGCTGCTAGAGGTTGGATGCTTTCTACCTTCCCACCGTGTCCTCAGTCTGGAGCTGGTGGGCTCCTGCAGCAGCGGTGGGCTTCTGTGGCTCTGCATGTTAAGCCTGTTCTTGCATTACCATAAAGAAATAACTGAGACTGGGCAATTTATAAAGAAAAGATGTTTAATTGCCTCATGATTCTGCAGGCTGTATAGGAAGCATGGCACTGGGCGTCTGCTCAGCTTCTGATGAGTCCTCAGGAAGCTTATAGTCATGGCTGAATGCAAAGCGGGAGCTGAAACGTCACATGACCAAAGCAGGAACAAGCGCAAGAGTGGGAGGGGAATTGCCATACCCTTTAAATGACCAGATCTCACGATAACTCACTATCACGAAGACATCACCAAGCCATGAAGGACCCGCCTCCATGACCCAAACACCTCCCACCAGGCCCCATCTTCAGCATTGGGGATTGTAATTCAACATGAGATTTGGGCAGGGACAAATATCCAAACTATATTATTCCTACAGTGGGTGCAGCTGGTCAGGGGTACCCCCCTGAGCAGTCATCTGTTTGCACAGAGCAGGGGCCTGTATAGCCCAGAGCTCACCCAGCCAGCAGGGCATCAGACCCCCACCACCTTGGGCCTCTCTGGATGCTGGGACATGCCCCTTTCTAGGGAAATCTTTGTAAGGGGAGTTAATATTGGCAGAAATTCAATTCTGCCCAAAAGTAAGTAGGAATATAGAAATTCTTCCTTTTTCTTCTATTTCTCTCTCTCCCAAGTGTTTAGGGAGAAGTGACAATACTGTGAAGGTATTTAGGGGAGAAATCATAAACATTCAGATGTTTTGATGAGCTGATTAGAAGTGAGTTCTGATTTGTAGTAGTTTGTATCCAGAATAATCTGATGGCAGGAGGTGTCCCCAGTAGGCTCTGATCTTTCCCTACCTTTGGCCTGGAATGGATTATTCTCTGGGCAGTGGCCAGTGTCACCCACACTGGGCCAGGCAGCAGGAGGTCTCGTCCATCATCCTAGTTCTACTACCACTGGGAAGGTGGCTTTGTTCCCTGAGCCTCCACTTCCCCTGCTGTGAAATAGCCATGGTTATCTGCAGGTTGGCCTTCTCAGAGGGCTATGGTGAATATGAATAGATAGTGCCAGTGCCAGTGAGCGTGACGTGAAAAGCAACAGTAAAAAACCAACAGATACACAGCTTGGTAGTGGACATTTTATCTACCTAGCATCCCTTGCAGCTTTAATAGGACTCCCTTCCATTCCTGCAAGTGTGCTGACCTCTGCATCTCCCACAGGCCAGGGGGGTAGACAGACGGCCACCCCTCTGGCCACAGAGATTGATTTCAGTGTGGGCTCATGCCTTCAAGCAGAACTTCCTGTATCTTTCAGCTGGAGCTCTGAAAAATAATTAATTTTCTGCTGGTTGTGAAGATCCAGGGACTCTCTCACCTTCTTCATCGTTTGAACCTCTGGATGTAGTCATTCCTGCAGGCCAGATCCACCCCTATTTTTTCAATAATATGAACCAATAAATCTGCAATCTTTCC